>NC_000009.12:38040303-38191818 GCF_000001405.40 Homo sapiens
AAGACAGAGATGATGGTCCGCTGAGGGCTGTCGTGAGGAGGAAACCAGACCACGGTGGGAAGCTGCCACATGAATGCCGGCCGTTATCCCTAAAGGGGGGGCTTGGGAAGGGAGGCCTCCCCAGACATGTGTCGGCACCCATGCAGTGCAGTGGAGGGACAGAGAGGGCACAGGGTCAGCCAGAGCTCCGCTGCTCTGCTCAAGTGAAGAGCTACCCCTGTCCCCAGCCACTGCATGCCATACCACCAACAGCAAGCGAGTGGGCGGGCAGGCAGACAGGCAGGTAGTGCTGGAGTGGCTGGGAGGGCTTCCTGGAGGAGGTGGCGGTCTTTCCTGGGCTCAGGCAGGGGTATCAGCAATAGGGCACACTACGGTGGGGGGGCTGCAAGTGAGGAAAGTGGCAGTCAAGAGACCAGTTTACAACGTTGCAGAGTTTGTGGGGAGGTATAGAGCAAAATGAAGAAAAGGAGTTTGGGGATAGATTTTGAGGGCTCTAGATGCTAAAGTCTTTGGGGCTTTGCCATAAATGGAGGAAGCATGAAAGTATTGGAGCAGAGGTGTGATGTGCACTCTGGAAGATGAGTGGCAAGGGAGGGTGCGGGGTGGGGTTAGGTGGGAATAAAGCCACACTGGGGACACGTGGCAGGGCTGGGGTGGAAGATACTGCCCCAGGGACGCTTAGAGTTAACTTCCACAGGACTGTGCACCTGGTGGGACTCAAGCAGAGAAGGTCTGAGGACATTTGTCCTTACCGAAGTCCTCTTCTCCAGGCTAACAAGCCACAGCTTAGTTTCTTCTGGGCAGGGATGGAGGGTCAAAAGTGGCCACCACCAAGTCCTTTTCTCTCTTTCTACACAAACTGAAACAAGCCTTTCCCCTTCATGCCTGATACCCAGAAAGCCCTTTTCCCTAATCAAGAGCCTGCATTTTACCTTTGCCCAGTAAAGGTTCTACCCCAGCTCCCTTCCCATAACCATGCACACGCACCGGTGAATCCACCAGTCAGGCGGGGGCTGTGTATGGGGAAGGGACTCAGACCTAAAGTGACCTTACCACTATGACATGAGATGGGCCAGGTAGTCACAAGCAAGGCCCAGGCATGACCTATGGGTATGGGGCAAGAGGGAGACTGCGTTGGGACAGAGTTTTGCCAACTAGCAGGATCTGAGGCAAACCTGCATTTGCTAGGCTGGATGGGTGATGGGAAGGAGAAGGGCATGCCTGCTTCAGAAATGGGCACAGGCAAGTGCAGAGGTATAAAACTTCGGTGAGTTCGGGGAAGAAAAGGGAGGTGGAGAAAACCTCATTGGGGGTGGTGGTGGGGTGGAGATTTGGATACCAGGTTAAAGCAACTCAACATTATTCCCAAAGGCAGTGGGAAGCCACTGGTGGTTCTGAGAAGTCGAGGAACTGGTTCAGGCTTATGCTTTGACAGGAGGGATGTGATCAGCTGCCCTCCACAAACAGGTCGTGACAGGGGCCGGTACTGAATGCCCGAAGCACAAGCAGAGGAGAGGTACAGTGCAAGCCTTCTGATTGCCAAAACGCAGCCGAAGTCGGCTCTCAAACATACTTTTTAAATAGTGCTTTGGGCCTTAGTGGAAACAACCTCATTCTCTACCTATTTCCTTTCTTGTTCTTCAATTTTCTCCCGAGTTTCTGAATATTAATCTCATGAGGAAGTCATTAGCTGGCGCTGCAGTCTGTTCTAATTATAAAGCACGCTAGGAGCACTGGGGCAGACGGGGGAAACGTGCCGACGTCTGGCTTCGCCCAGAAGGCATCAAGGTTTGGAGCGCAGGCCCTAGGGTGGGACTGCCACATCTGTCCTGTGCCGGGTCACCAAGTATGTTACTTAAACCCTCTGTGCCCCTGTCTCCTCATCAGGGTAACGAAAATACCTACCCACGAGTGTTGCTGCAACAAAGCAAGGCAGAGTTTAGCATGGTGCCCGGGACACAGTAAGAGCTCACTATGTACTAGTAGATCCAGAAATCACCCATCATCTTCAGTTATCGTTTAATTGCTAACCTCACCTCCAAACTGCACACATGCCCTTTAATTACTGAGGAGCAGTGTTGTGCGTAACACACTGGGTCCAGAGTGGGGAGGCCCCAGTCCCGCTCAGGTATTCACTGACTTCTGGGTGACCAAGAAGTTCACTTCTCCAACCCTAAAATGGGAAGGGGGAATCCCCAGTCTCTCTGCCTCCTGGGGCAGCTCAAAGCAAGCTGGAAAGTGCCGGTGCAGGGGTTAGCACTCTCTTGCCTCCACCTTCAGCTGGGTGTTTAAGAGGGGATCTACCTCCAAGGGAGTGACATTTCCACCATGCTCCTCTGTTGGCTTCCCTCGGAAATCACTTGTGACAGGCTCTTGGAAGGCTGGGCCAAGAAAGCAGCAGCCACAGCCAGAATAGCAGGGGCCCAATTCCAGCCTGGCCAAGCATGGGCTTTCCTGGGGCGACCTGGCCCAGCCTCGAAGTCGAATTCCTGTTAATTCTCACTATCCCCACCAAATGTCCGCCCCAGGCCAGGCCAGGCTCTGGGCTTTCCCAGACTCCCTGCAGTCACAGAGACTCCTCAGACCCATGACTACCCAGCTAAGTCTCTGGCCATGCTCTAGGAGCTGCTCAAACTCCCCCGGTCTGCCAGACCGCCCACAACCCCACCTGTTCCCACTCTGAGCTCCAGTCCTCTACCTTTCTCACCAGACCCAACTTGTCCTTGCCAAACTCCGTGCTTTTGGCCAAGCTGTGCTCTCTGCCTAGAGTACATTTCATTCTTCCCCTACCCAGTGTTCAAGCCCAGACCAAAACCACCTCCTCCAAGTAGCCTGCCCAGATTACTCTCCCAGAATCAATCCATCTGACACACTGCAACACCCTGTCTTGCTTTGCAGTGGAAGTCCTTGTGTCCAATGCTCTGCCCCCAGCTTCTCTCTGCCTATGCCACAGTGCCCTGTCCTGCATTCCCCACTGTGCCTATGCCTGGGGATATTACCTAGTAGACACATAGGGGACTGAACCAAAAACAAAGACAAAACAACAGCCTCCTTTGAACAGGATAACTGCTCCATGTACTTAGATTCTGGGGACTGACATCTTAACTGTGCATTTCCCTGTCTGAAAGCAGTGAGTTGCATCCTCCCTGAAAAAGTGATCACTGGAAGCACCGCTGTGAAGGCAGCCACCTTTAGATGGGAGAGAAACGCAAGGTGTCTGAGTCTGGGAACATGGAGCTGGAGGGGAGAGGTATCGAGGGTCAGTGGGGCTCCCCCTTCCCCTGCCATAGAAATCATCCACCCTGGCCGGGTGCAGTGGCTCACACCTGTAATCCCAGCACTTTGGGAGGCCGAGGCGGGGGGATCACCTGAGGTCGGGAGTTTGAGACCAGCCTGACCAACATGGAGAAACCCCATCTCTACTAAAAATACAAAACTAGCTGGGTGTGGTGGCACATGCCTGTAATCCCAGCTACTTGGGAGGCTGAGGCAGGAGAATGGCTTGAACCCGGGAGGTGGAGGTTGAGGTGAGCAGAGATTATGCCATTGCACTCCAGCCTGAGGAACAGGAGCAAAACTCCGTCTCAAAAAAAAAAAAAAATTAAGAAAAGAAACCATTCTCCCTGAACGCACTGGTGGCAGAGAAAGCTCAGGGCCAGGCCTCAATCCAGGGCCATGGCCCCTATGCTGGAACCAGCACACCAAGGTGTTGACCTGGAGAAGCGGGCATGCCCTGGTTCTGCCTGGCAGCCCACTCTAACCTGCCACTGCACATAAATTACAGGGAGGAGGCCGGTGGCCAACTGGCTTCAAGGCAGGCCCTGCCTCTCTCTAGCACAAGGAAGCGCTTTGTGCAGCCCAACACCTCATTATCTGGCAACTCAGTCACACCGGAAAGGGCAAATAATGGGGTGAGCGCGACACATGTTGTGCAGACGTCCCTCCCTGCACAAACCTGTCCTGGAGTCCCACTGCCTGTGGGCCAAAGGCTCAATTAACTCCTTAGTATGGTATTTGCAGCCCTTCAATCTGGCTGCAACAACTCTTTCCAGAAAAGTCTCTTTCTAATCTAATTCATTTATTCATCTATAAGACGTTTACTAAGCACCTACTATGTGCCAAGCATGATGCTGAAGGAGCTGAAGCACTCCTAAGGTCTCATGGGTCCTGAATCCTTTGCAGATCACACACAAGTCCCCAGCTAAAAGCTCTCCATAGAGGAGGTGGTAATTACTAACTGTTTTTAATCATCACTCCCACCTGCCACTGAGGAGAATCAAAGCTGCTCTTTCCAATGCCCACCACCACACCAAAAGGCAGGCAGCACAGGCCTGCATGAGGCCACTAGAAGCCTAAAATGTAGAGTCTTGGCTGCTCTGGAGGGCACTGGAGTTTGGAGGTTTTTTCCCTTGTTGGAGTTACTGGCAATTTGGGGACTATTGGGGTTTTACAGCATACTGGCTCTTCAATCAACCTCTCTGAGATCACTTATCTGACAAGCACTCCTGCATCCACTCTGGGGTCAGGCCCCGTGCAAGGTGCAGGGCTCTCACTGTGGCTCTCCAGGAGCCATGACATGGTGTGACTGCTTCCGCCAGAGGTGTGGACATGTGTACACAGAGGAGGGAGGGGTGGGAGGTCAGGAAGCCTCCCAAATGGCAGGACAGCTGAGCTGAACTTAAGAGGATGAGGAGGATAAAGGTGTGACACACAAGTGAAGACACAGAGGCATACAGGTGAGCCTTGCATCCTGGCACAAGGTCAGAGGTTCCCAGCTGGCTGTCATGGAAGGGATGGAGTAAAAAGAAGCCTTTCCAAGAGGTAAGGGTCAGCTGGAATGTCAAGCTATGAGTCTGGACATGATAGAAGCCATGGGTAGTGTCTAAATGATGACACGTCCAGACTCACTTTTGGAAGACAGAAGATAAAGGACAAATCAAAAGGGTCAAGACTACAGCCACATGGGATATCAGGTATGGAACTTTTCTTCTAGTAACATTTGTAAAAGCCACAACGACCAGGTGCGGTGGCTCACGCCTGTAATCCCAGCACTCTGGGAGGCTGAGGTGGGTGGATCACTTGAGGCCAGGAGTTCGAGACCAGCTTGGTCAACATGGTGAGACCCCCCCCACCCCCAAGTCTCTACTAAAAATATAAAAATTAGCCGATAGGTGGCGCGCACCTGTAATCCCAGCTACTCGGGAGGCTAAGGCAGGAGAATCTCTTGAATCTGGGAGGTAGAGGTCGCAGTGAGCCGGGATTGTGCCACTGCGCTTCAGCCTGGACAACAGAGTGAGACCCTGTCTCCAAAAAAAACAAAGCCACAACAATAAACAATTTGACAACATATCAATTTCCTACCACTTTGTAATGAACCTGACTATACAACGTGAGATCCTACACAGCACAACACAGGTACAATAAAAACGGTGCATTTTAAAAAGACGTATGTTTTTTGACATGAGAACGTGGGCAACTTCTGTGCAATGTAAAGATTGATTAAAGATCTTCTAGCGTGTCTAGGCCAGAGACAGCTTGAAAGAAACCAAGAGGGAGTGGGGTCAAAACAATCAGGTCAAAATGGGTATGTATAAAACACAGAGATTACAAGTTAACATGGGTCATGATTATGAAAAGAGGCACCAGGCACAGGTGGCTCACGCCTGTAATCCTAGCACTTTGGGAGGCAGAGGAGGGCGGATCACCTGAGGTCAGGAGTTCAAGACCAGCCTGGCCAACATGATGAAACCCTGTGTCTACTAAAAATACGAAAATTAGCCAGGCGTGGTGGTGTGTGCCTGTAATCCCAGCTATTCAGGAGGCTGAGGTGGGAGAATCGCTCAAAACCGGGAGGCGGAAGTTGCAGTGAGCCGAGATAAGAAAAAAAAAGAAAAGAGGCACCTAATGTTTTCAGCCAGGGTTGGGCAAAGCTTCACTTCTGTAAGTAAAGCATTGCTGAACGTGGCCAGGCCTGCTCATTTATATATTGTCTGTGGCTCCCTGAAGAAGTGAACAGAGGCAACAGAAACCGTGTTGCTGCAAAGCCTGAAATACTATTTGGCCCTTTACAGAAAAAGTTTGTGACCTCTGTGTTAGACACATAAGAATTGAATACAGGCAAACAAGAACAAGCAGTTGCCCTGAGGGCAATATACTGATGCTCGAAGCCCCCCCGGGTCCTCCTTCTCCGAGTAGGGCCCTCAGGAGACACCACATTCCTCTGAACATCTTGGGTGGTCAATCTTCCATACTCTGGAGTGGATTTAATTTCTAGAAACTGCCCACGGCTTTTCCAAACCAATTTAGGTGAAAAGGTGGGTGATCACGCCAAGCAATGAAACATACAAACTTGCCAGGGGCAGGACGCAAGCCTCTAACACGGAAGGAATTGAAATCGCAATGAGATGTGGCTTCATTGTAAAGTTGCACAACTTGGTTTCTTGTGTCTCATTAATTGGGGACAACAGTCATATAATGTTTGGGCCTCGGCCTGACAGGCCTGACAGTAAAAATCCCTTCGTCGCTTGTGGCTTATGACTACCTCTTACAAGACAAACCACATTCCACAGGAACCTGCGGTCTGGAGAGGGCTGTTAAGGGCTGTCCTGGGAAGTTTTTGGAAAAGATGGGGCCTGGTGAGAGAAAAGAACACCTGGCCTTTTTACAAATGCAGACACTGTGGCCCAGGGAGGGGAGGGGCCTTGCCAACATCACCTAGCCATGGCACCTCAAGGTTCAACGTACCCAAAGTGGCCAGTGTTTCAGGTTCAGTGCCAGCTGTGGGGGATGAGTGAAAAATGAGTTCATGTTCTCCAAGAGTCCAGTCCCTGGTATCCAGATAACACAGGAATGTCAATAAAAACAGAGAAGTTTGGCAGGCCTTGGGTATGTCCCCTGACCTCTCCAAGTCTGCTTACTTGTATGAAAAATAGTATCTTCCTTACACAATTCCTGTGAGGACTCCAATGAGAGATGTACCTGAAGCACCCAGCAGAGTATAGCATACAGTAAGTGCTCAACTGAAAGCAGCTAATCACTTCAGGCACAAGGCTGAGCTATTTTCTAGTTGCAGCGGTCCAATCTTCTTACCCACAAGTGTGTACACACACCTCCCCTTCGGTGCAGAAAACTGGAGACTGCAAGGCTTCACTGAGCACCTGTCCTGTGTGAGGAATGGCCCTGCCTGCCTCCAACAGGGAAGTTAACAGAGGGGAAAACTGCAATCTGGCTCTGGAACTGCAACATTCCTACCCCTCTTGGCTAATGCCTTCAGCAGGACCACAATTATAAACACAGAACTAACAGGAACTGAGAAACAGCAGCAGATCAAAAAGCAGGTTGCTCTTGCTTTTGGAGGATGTGAGACAGATTTCTTCCAAAGAGGCAAGGGAAAATCCCCCATCTTTACAGGTCAGGAATAGCGCCAGTAAATCCCTCCACTTTGTCCTTTCTCCTTTCATGGAATAGCCCAATGCGCCAGTGGGTGTTAAGCAAACAAGGGTGTGAGTTGCAGCTTCCTGTGCCTGACTATGCAGTTCCCGCACAGGTCCTTGCCCGAGCTAACGCTGTGGCCCCGGACACAGACAGATAAAGTCCCGATCGAACACTAAGGGCCAAAGCTGGCACCAATGAGCAAGCCTGGTGAGCTTATATAACAAAGGGCTTGTCACCACTTCCTGTGATCCTCATCGCCAGCATTCCAACACAATGAGACACTCAGCGGCTTTGAAGTTCAACAACTCATTCAGATGGCCCCAGCAAAAACTCTGCTGGGAGGTGGAGAGCCTGTGCTCCCTTACCTCACCTTCTCATCCCCCTCCTCACGTTGTGCTTGCAATGTTACCACTTCAAAAAAATTTCCAATAGTAATTAAATGATTTGCATTTGTTTTTAAAAACTGTAAAATATTCCAACCTTCCAGCGATAACCAGTGTATACATTTTGGTCGATTTCCTTCCAGTCTTTTTTCTACATATGTCGGTGGGAATGCAGTAATTGGAAAAGAATACAAATATTCATCATTTTTTATATCCTGCGTTTAAAAAAGTATTACTTCTGGCCAGTTGCAGCAGCTCATGCCAGTAATCCTAGCACTTTGGGAACTGAGGTGGGAGGATCACTTGAGTTTGAGATCAGCCTGGGCAGCACAGTGAGAGCCTGACTCTACATAAAATTTTTAAATTAGCTGGGCATGGTGGTGAGTGCCTGTAGTCCCAGCTACGTGGGAGGCTGAGTCTGGAGGATCTCTTCAGCCCTTGAGGTGGAGGTTGCTGTGAGCTATGATGGCACTGTTGCACTCTAGCCTGGGTGACATAGCAAGGCCCTGCCTCAAAATAATAATGATAAATACACATACAAAAAATGAAAAAGTATTACATTGTTGAGTGTTTTCCATCTTAACGATATTGCAGTGGAGTTACTCAACTCAGCTTTTGTTGGCTGTATTCCCTCTCACTTTAGGCCACACGTTAGCCACTTCCCATGGCTGGATATTTAGGTAATTTCCAGTTTTTGGTTTTGCCAAATGTTTTAGGTGCTTTTCCCTAGGAGGGCACCACTGGGTTCCCAGGGTAACAACTTTTAAGCCTCTCCATGTTGCTCTCTCACTGTTTCCAGTCACTCTTTTTGACCTAAAACCAAGTCTACAACATTTTTAGGGCAACAATACAGTCTATTCACAGGCACCTTCTCAGCTCATCTCAAGACAGAAACGAACATCCTTTTTATTTATTTTTGAGACAGAGTCTCGCTCTGTCACCTAGACTGGAGTGCAGTAGCGCCATCTCGGCTCACTGCAGCCGTAACCTCCCAGACTTAAGTGATCCTGCTACCTCAGCCTCCCAATTAACTGAGACCACAGATGCATGCCACCACACTTGGCTAATTTTTAAATTTATTTTGTAGAGATGCGGTCTCCCTATGTTGCCCAAGCTGGGCTCAAGCGATCCTCCTGCCTCGGCCTCCCAAAGTGCTGGGATTACAGGTGTGAGAGCCCAGCCAATATCCTCACTGAAAACAGGCTCAGATGGGTGTGGTGGCTCATGCCTGTAATCCCAGCACTTTGGGAGGCTGAGGTGGGCAGATCCCCTGAGGTCAGGAGTTTGAAACCAGCCTAGCCAACATGGCAAAAGCCCATCTCTACTAAAAGAATGCAAAAATTGGCTGGGTGCGGTGAGGCGCGCCTGTAATCCCAGCTACTTGGGAGGCTGAGACAGAAGAATCGCTTGAACCCAGGAGGCAGAGGTTGCAGTGAGCTATCGCACCACTGCACTCCAGCCTGGGCAACACAGCAAGACTCAGTCTCAAAAAAACAAACAAACAAAAAACAAAGCAAAAAAAAAAAAAAAAAGGAAACAGGCTCAGAGAGGTCAAGTGACTTGCCCACAGTCACAGTCTGACCCTGAACCCAGACTAACCCTGGGCACTAACACTGGCCCACACTGCTTCCCTCATAGGCCCCTAGGCAGGCCAGTATTTCAGCAGGTACCATGGGTACTTTTTTTTTTTTTTTTGGAGACAGAGTCTTGCTCTTGTTGCCCAGGCTGGAGTGCAGTGGTGCAATCTTGGCTCACTGCAACCTCCGCCTCCCGGATTCAAGTGATTCTCCTGCCTCAACCTACCAAGTAGCTGGGATTACAGGCATGTGCCACCACACCCGGCTAATTTTTGTAAAGACGAGGTTTCACCATGTTGGTCAGGTTGGTCTCGAACTCCTGACCTCAAGTGATCCTCCTGTCTTGGCCTCCCAAAGTGCTGGGATTACAGGCGTAAGCCACTGCGCCCAGCCAACATTTAAAAATTGAATGCATGATGATCTGAAACACAGCTTGCTATGGTCCCCAAGTCTCACCCTGTAATCTTAAATCCACCTGTCAATGTCTTGACCATCCAACCCCAGAACCAATGCAGGGAAATGTCACAGTCCTTCAGCAAAAGGGCTCAAGTAGTCTTTTATTCAGCAATGGGAAAGGTTCCCTTTTACCACTAAAGAACTAAGCGGCAGAAAATGCCATGCCCCAATTAAGTCTAAGGAATAGACTTAATAATGACAATCTAATTTGCTCACTCTGAATTTAGACTATGAATGCAAGGTTACCTTAGATTTCACATTCAAACCTACCTTTGAAATTCAAATATATGGATATTTTAAGGCAGCCAGGCCTCCTTCTGCAAGGGAAGCCCTGATTTCCCTTTTTGGGATTTTTTTTTAAAGAAAAGTCTGGGAAGACACAAGAACGTATGAACAAAATATATGTTTTGTTTCAGTACCCTTCACAGATCTAAAGTCCCTTCCCCATAACTATGAAGGTGGTCGTCAGAAATGTCCAAGCATAAAATGACTCTCAAAATGAATGAATGTATACAACTGAAATTTACTTTCAGAGTAAGAAATGCTTGAATATATATGGAACTAGAAGCTGCCGAATGTTAAGAAATCCAATACTCTTAAGTGTCTGCTAGTCTGTAGAAAACAGATGTAATCAGAAGAAACCATCAAAAGCAAAGGGTAAGATATTTTCAAGGATAATCATTCCCAAAAAGGCCAGGCAGATACAAAAAAAAAGAGAGATTTCTAATTTGGGGGTGATGGGAGAAAACACACAAAAAAGAACGTGCCTTCACTCCTCAACCACTGACTACAATCTTTTACTACAAACTGCTTATTTAGCATCCTCTGAATTGTCACAATTTTTGCTCCCACTGGAGGCTTCAAGTCTAATCATCTGTAAGGATTCCTCAAAACAGTTTGCCTGGATAAAGAAAAGTTTCTCTGCCTTTTCAAAACCAGGCCCACTTCTACCCTAGTTTGCAGGTGACAAAGAATCTGAGTCGAAGTTGCACACAAAATTCAAGGCAGGCCAGGCAGGGTGGCTCATGCCTGTAATCCCAGCACTTTGGAAGGCGAGGCGGGCAGATCACGAGGTCAGGAGATCGCGACCATCCTGGCCAACATGGTGAAACCCTGTCTCTACTAAAAAATAACAAAAATTTAGCTGGGCATGGTGGCGCATGCCTGTAATCTCAGCTACTCGGGAGGCTGAGGCAGGAGAATCGCCTGAACCAGGGAGTCAGAGGTTGCAGTGAGCCAAGATCGCGACACTGCACTCCAACCTGGTGACAGAGTGAGACTCCGTCTAAAAAAAAAAAAAAAAAAAAAAAATTCAAGGCAGAGGGACAAAGGGCAAGTAGGCGAGACCTCAAAGCATGCCCGGGTTGAGTGTCTGCACTTTGACAACCTTCAGGCCCAAGGCCTGGGAATATCATCCAGGCTGTGACAGCGTTCTCAGCTGTCCTGTGGGTGATGAGGAAGTGATGACACCAACTCCCACCATCTCGTCACTTCACAGTCACACCACAGATGGCTTTCAGATGATCCAGAGCCCCACAGAAGCCCGGCAAGCAGGAGCTGACTGATGGCAACATTATTCCTAGATCTTTACAAAGCGTTTCTTCTGAGCCTGTAAAGCGAGCTCTGCCGGTCAGAGTGGCCCTCTGATGGAGTGGTGAATGTGTAAGGAATTGTCCAGGGATCTTCAAGGGGCTCTTTGACTGAGCCCAGCAAACATCTTCATCGTGGCTAACATTTCTTTCCCTCTGGGGACCTAAAGGAGGCTGAGCACTTACTGTTTTTCGAAGAGCTTCTCCCTGCAAGGACGTCCTCTGAAGATCAGCATCCCGCGTTGGCTCAGAGCCCTGGTTTTCCCTTTCCCTTCTTGCACTGCTGTCTTCTGAAGACTTCAACTACGACACCAGCAACTTTACATGGCTTCTTTCTAACTGCCATCATTTGCCTGGACATCCTGGAATGTCTCTAACTCCACGAGGTGCTGCCATCAGATGGGAGAGCTCCATCTCAAGGGCAGGTGACTAGCTCTGTCCACCCCCAGAACACACACAGCCCCCTCCCCATCTCCTTAGTCCCCCACGTCTTTCCTCATGGATGGGCTGCTTGGTAGCTCTGTCCTTTCCTGCTCCATGTTTCAGCAGAAACAAGCAGTCTGACTTGTACAAGGCCTCCTCCGCCCAACTCTCCAACCAGCAGAGCCATTCCCGGCTCAGACTCCGTGACCCCAGCACATGTTCCGTCCGGCTCTGACAGAATGTGGACAAATGCTCTGATGGACTGAGTAACTCACAAACTCCCACAGAGGACGTTTCGGCTATTGACAGAAAAATCTATCCTCCTGACAAGCGCTCGGTCAATTTCTCTCGATTGCCCAGTGTCATCTGAGAGCTGCCTGAGCAGTCAGTTGCAGTATTTGAGGCCCTTGGTGCCTCTGCCTAAAGCATTCCATGTCCTCCTAACTGGGTCCCCACCTCCATGCCCAGCTTAGAGCCTCCCCACCCCCACTCCTTTCTAACTATCCCCTCAGGCTACAGACATACAGGTGTCCCTAAAGCATGAGGCTGACCCTTTCACTCACTCCCTCCACTACCTTTCTTTACCCACAGAATAAAGACCAAACTGTGGCCTGGCCCTGAAGGCCTTCCCACACCTGGCTTCTCCTCCATCATCTACTAGGGACCATTCAGAGGGCCCCTCTCCCGGGATGTCCTCCTCACATCCACCAATCTCTAAATATCCAGATCCTCCTTATGCATGAAGGCCCAGCTCCCATGCTGCCTCCTCCATGAAGCTTTCCTTGATGCCCCTTTGGCAGCATTGTCCTGAGAATGTGCCTATGGGGAGTACCTGGCCCAAACTAGACACTTTATCGACAGTAGAGACCTGTGGTTTCTATGACAGTAGAGACCTATTCAGCTGATAAATGGCCATCAGCTGACACAGAGCTGACCCGTCACTGTCCCTTGCATCTGTGTAACATAGACTGACTGCCTGGCTGGAACCCCAGCTCCAGCTCTACCCACTACTAGCAGTGTCATCTACGATAAGATACAAACTTGTTTGCCTCAGTTTCTCCATCTGCAAAATCAGACTCTTTTTTTTTTTGAGATGGAGTCACTCTCTGTTACCGAGGCTGGAGTACAGTGGTGCGATCTCAGCTCACTGCAACCTCCACCTCCCGGGTTCAAGCAATTCTCCTGCCTCAGCCTCCTGAGTAGCTGGGACTACAGGCGCTTGCCACCACGCCCAGCTAATTTTTTGTATTTTCAGTAGAGATGGGGTTTCACCATGTTAGCCAGGATGGTCTACATCTCCTGACCTCGTGATCCGCCCACCCCAGTCTCCCAAAGTGCTGGGATTACAGGTGTGAGCCACCACACCCAGCCAGAATGGGACTCTTAATAGAACTTGCCTCCTATGGGGTGTTGTGGGAATCAGTGAGCTAACATACCTCAAGCTCTTAGAACAGAGTGGTGATCCCAGGTAAAGCTTAACCGTAAGCAGACCCACCAAGATAAGGATAGGTTCACTCTCTGAGGACCACATCATCAGCCCAGACAGGGCAACCCCACTGACTTTACTGTGGCTATAGAAAGCCCAAAGTTCAAAGCTGGACTGAGGCCCAAGACACACAGGCCAAAATAATATAAAACATTCATAAAGCTCTTCCTAAATGCTAGGCATTGTGCTCAGCCATTTCAACAAATGATTTTATTTAATCCTCACAACGACCCAATGTACTTCCCCAGAACCTCATCTCCCAAATGCCTTACCATCTGTAAAATGGGGATTCTCACAGCAACACCTCAAAGACACACAGTTAAGGATCAAGTACTGAAAGTGTTACCTATGGTGACACAGAGTGAATGGTCAGGAAACACCATCTGTTACTATTCTACCTACATAGAAGATGGGGCATTCCAGGCCCAGAGAATTTTATCACTTGTCCCAAGTTACTAAGCTTCCAAGCACCAGGGCTAGGATTTGAGCTCTGGACTTCCGACCCTAAAGCCAGTGAGTGTTTCATGCCACCACAGTGGGACACACTTGGGTTCTGCTGTGTCTGGAGCAACAGCCCTGGGCTCCTGTGGTGTATGACCTTGTCAGCTAGCCCCCACAAGGGGCCAAGAAGCAGGACAGGGAATGCCCAACCCTGACATCACACTGCTTTCAGCCACGCAACCTCTGCTCCACTTGCTACCTACTCCTCTGGAATCCACTCCTGACAGCTCCTTTGCTGAGACTCCCCAAATCCACCTGGGAATCTGACCTTGTTCCCCATCCAGTCACATGCCTGCACAGTTAACACCTCAGTGCCAACCTCAACTCACCCACCGGGAACCTGCTCTAGCCTATTACTTCATGCCCACAGGAAGCTCCTAGACTTGGGCTCCATCAAGACCTCCACAGTTGTGACATCAAAGGGTCCTTGCCCTTAGCAGCTGGGGTCCTGGCTGGGAATCTGGCTCTGTGGGCAGTGTTATAGCCTGCAGCTTCTCTCTGCCTTTGAAGATACAATCGCACATCTGAGGGTCCTTATATGAGAGAAGCAAGGTTAGACTGGTTCTACTTGACCTCAGAGAGTCAAACCAAGACAGTAGTAGAATCTACAAAGAAAAAGAGTTCAACCAACGAGTTCCTGTGAATACCAGGTGCTCAAAAAGCTAGAGTAAACATTTAAAATAAAAAAAAAGTCAACCCCAGCTGTGCAAAGGTGGCCGGACAAAAGGTAACAAATCTCAACATTGGAAGTTTTCAGCATGGATGGAAGAGAGTTGGATGGGGTGATCCCCAGCTCTCTGGGACACCAAAGGTCAAGGATAGCAGCTTTCTACCTTGGCTGCAGATCACAATCATCTGGGATCTTCAAAAAATACTGATGCCCTGGCTGTATCTCCAGAAATTAATTAATCTGGGATGGGAGCCTAGGAAACTGAAATTTGTAAAATGCTATGCAGGTAATTTTACTGTGCTGCCAGGACTGGTCCTGGGTTCAGTGACGTGATGTGAGTTAGGCAGACACCTTCAGCCTCTTAGAACCACAGTCATGTTCGGCAGTGTTCAGAAATCTGCATTTTTCCTGGATTTATTCCCCATGAACACTCCACGACTTAATCTTTTCCTTTAATACCAATTTGTTTATGTCATCAACCTCACAGCAAACACTGCAGGATGGATTTTCCTAACACCAGCATGAACCAGAAAAAGAGAAACAGGCTATAGTGGTCTGGAAAAAAATCTCTCACTGATTGAAGACACGGGACACCTGGGTTGATGGTGGGCCGAAAACGGTGGGGTGCAGAGGAAGAACCTGGTGACCTGAACTTTTTGCAGGTGTTAAAAAATTTGAGTGACCAAAATCGTGTGGCCCACACAGGCCACACCTTCAAATCCTACCCATTCTGAACTCTCCCACCAGCCATACCCACCTCGCCCAAATGCTTCTCTTGTCTGCTCAGGGAGTCATTTACCTGCCTGCCTATGCTGGCAATGAATTCCTCCCTCTCCAATACCCACTCCTGGGCTCTCAGCTAGAGCACCCAGGCTTAACTGTCTCTGATTGTTCCATAGGACTCAGCCCAGTGCTGGAATATGGTTGGATGACTGAACGCTACACCCACTCTGTGAAAACTGAAACACTCGCTTGGCTCAAGCCACATGGGCAGGGCAGACCACCGTGATTGCCTCAAATACACCTAGACAGCCCAGCCTCCGGTATCAGAGGAGGATGCCGACTCCACCAGAGGCAAGACAAGGCTGTCTTGGCCACATCCCACACACCACAGCAGGTTTGGCATTCTGCTGTGGTGGGTAAAGATGAAGCCCTAGTTAATACCTAGTTACTTTCCTCAGATGTCAGGAGTTGAATGTGTAATAAGCGCATGGGTATCTGCAGAAGAAAGTTGTCATTTTATAAAGACAGGCCTTCATCATCATTATCATAATCACTGATGAGACCTAAACACTGTCAGGGCAAGATGGAGTCAAAATATTTAAGTCTCAAAAGGTACCTGAAGATCATGAGCAAGCAATACAGGGTACCCAGACACACACTAGCCATTTGGAAAATAAGATGACAACCATACCTCATACAATGAAATCAAACTCTAGGGGGATGGAAATTTTAATGTAAAAAAAAAATCCATCAAAGTATTAGAAGAAAATATAAATACTACAGTAGGGAAGACTTTGTTTTTTTGAGACAGAGTCTTGCTCTGTCTTCCAGGCTGGAATACACTGGCGCAATCTCAGTTCACTGCAACCTCTGTCTCCTGGGTTCAAGCAATTCTCGTGCCTCAGCCTCTAAAGTAGCTGGGACTACAGGGGGATGCCACCACACACAGGTAATTTTCTGTATTTTTAGTAGAGACAGGTTTTTGCCATGCTGCCCAGGCTGGTCTTGAATCCTGAGCTCATGTGATCCACCCGCCTCAGTCTCCCAAAGTACTGGGATTATAGGCGTGAGCCACCGCGCCCACATGGGAAGACTTTTCTCAGCAGCATGCTCAAGAAATCATGAAGGTGGAGACTGATTAAATAGAAAACAATTCATTGTAACCAACAACAATTGCCACATATAGAACCAAAAGGCAAATTACAAACTTTAAAAAATGTTCTGCAACCCAAATGGCAGGTAAGGGGCTGCTATTGTTAATCCACAAAGAGTTCTTACAAATCAACAGACAAAACCCTGCAGCAGAAAAGGATGAACAGATGATAAAGTAAACAGTTTTGGAAAAGCAACACAAATGGTCAACACACATTTGCACCAGGAATCCAGGAAACTGCAAATGCAACTAACTTGCATTAGAATTCCGAGGATTGTGTGAGAAGGGTAAAACAGGTGTCAACTTGTAAGGTCTTTCTAGAACACAATTTGAAAGTATGTATCAGACTTTTTACTGTCTTATCCAACAATTCTCAGAATCAACCCCAAGGAAATAATCACAGACCTATGCAAAGAATTAAGTTACAAAGATGTTCATTACGGCACTGTTAAATTGGTGAAAACGAGGAAAAGCCCAACATGTGAACAGAATACAATGCAGCTATTAAATTACAGTTGTTAAATATTTAAGATATTGTAGACATCTTTCCATGTCTTTACGTTTAAAAAAATATAGACGGTATCACTTAATTTTTGTGGCGAGAAAAATAAACATATATATATATGCAATGAAAAATGGCTAGATGAAAAAGTAGTAAAATGTTAATGGTGGTTTCTTTGAATTACGGAATTAGGGTTGGTTTCTGAGTTTTGCTTACTTATTATTTTCTATACCAAACTTGTCTTAATTTTGTTATAAGGGGTAAAAGGTTAGTCAAAAGATAAATGTGGAACTACAGCTCAAAATGCAAGCTGGTCCCTTTCTGAGGAACCGGCTCAGAGCACAGCCAACTTGCAAGGGCCCCACACAGGGCAGGTAGGCACCATGCCATTCCGCAAATGCCATGCAGTCCCCGATCACATGTGTGGCTTTGGAATGCACCAGAGGGATTACCGGGCTGTCTGGCTTTCTGGGAGTGCACATCCAACAAGATGGTAAAGTTTCACTGTTAAGAACTTTCTGATGATTTTCATTTTTAGAATTTAGCCGTGGCCTGGAGAAACCTGCAGACTCTCATTCCTCCTAGTTCTGTTTGCATTCTCCCCATAGCCCATGTACCAGTGAACCCACAATATAAGGGACCACTTCCTATCAGAAGCAGCCAGCAATGAAATGTTCTGCTGAGCAAAACAGTGGCTGCTCCAGCCCTGTCCCTGGAGACTTAATCGCTGCACTGTCTCCACCGCCCTGTGGTGCCCAGCTCAGCCATGCAACATAGCAGGTGGCCTCTTTTGAATTAGGAGTACTGGGGCAATTTCAGACTAGTGGCAGGCAGGGCCTGGCCCTTTGCCACCTTCCTCTATCCCTGGCAAATATACCATGGCATGCCCCAAGCTCTGGCCACCCCTGACTGCACACAGCAGAGTTCCCCTTCCAATCTCAGCCACTGTAGATGGGATCCCCTCTGTCTTGGATGCCCCATCCACACCTTCCTCTGGACCCATCTCCCATGAGGCCTCCTCTTCCTGACGGTTTTCCCCATTTCCTCCCACAGACCCAGACAGAGGGCCATCCATTTCTTCCCTGGGATCTCAGGCACCTCCTGACCCCAGAGGGCAGAGAGTGTCCCACTCTGGACCCCTAGGCCTCAGCTGCTGAATCTACTGCATCAGTGGCTGCTCGGGGCCAAAACCCTGCAGCCATCCTGGCTCTTCTCCCTCATCTCTGCCAGGAAATCCTGAGGCCCAATTTCACCACACGCTGGAATCTGCCCCTCTTCTCATCACCTGCTGTCAAAGCCCTGCTTTCAGTGGTCTGCCTGCTGGTGCCCTCTCTGCTCTAGAATCTCCAGAGCCACCCTTTAAAAACCCAAGTCAGATGCGTGGCTGGCTTCTCTGCTCAGAACCCTCTGCTGCCCCCATCTCATGCAGGGTTAGCGAGGAAGGCCTCTTCAATGCTTGTGAGTTCCGACATCCTCTGCCCCACACCTCTCAGCCCTCAGCTGCCTTCATACCTCCTCCTCACCTGCTCCGCTCAGTCATATAGATCTCTGCATTGCTCCCTGAACCACCGAGGCATGCTACTGCCTCAGGCTTCTGCACTGTTCTTCTTCCCTCTGCCTGGAATGCCGTCCTTGGAGAGCGGGGTGGTTCATGCCATCACAACTCTTAGCAAGGCCCTCTCTGAGCACCCACATAAAAAGCATCCCACCCCAAATTCACGTTTGCCATCGCCTCTTTATTCCTCTTTACTTTCCTCCACAGTCCCCACCCCTGACGTAACTGTATTTACTTGACTCCTGTCATGAGAGAGCAAGCTCAGGGGAGCATAGACTCTTATCTGCTTTGTTCATGGCTCTATTCCCAGCACCTAAACAGAACAATCCCCAACACACAGCAGGCTCTCAACAGTGTCTACTGAATGAATGAATGAATGAATGAGAAGAAAGGACTTGGCATGGGCTCTCACAGCCCCCTGGGAACTCTGGGTCCAGCCTGTAAGTCAAGGCCCGGCAGTGGGCCAGGGAATTCGCTTCCCCCACCCACCCACCCACCTGTCGAGTCACTCTCCCCTCCTCGGCCGTGGGAAGCCCCTTTCTGACCAGGAGTATTACGTGTTGCTTGGAAAACACTGGGCCTGAGTCACTCAGTGGGGCTCTAATTCTCTCTCCATCCCCTGGACCCACCTCCAAGATCCTTCCTTTACAGCATAATGGGAAATCCAGAGACAGCTCCCCTTGGAGAAACTGGAAAGGAACTGAATGATTTAGAGGAAAATTCAGTTCTTCCTGCCTCGGGAGTTAGGAAAGCTCAAACTCTCAGGAAGTTAGTGCCGCTGAAAGTGAAACATTAATAGAAATATTACTGGAAAATACCAAACAGGAAGAGAAGGAAAATTCCATTGTGGAAGCAAGGTCCTCTGTCGATGCTCCTTAATGGTCTCAGCAAAGTGTTTCAGAATCAAAACACGGGAAGAAGCGGAAATCAATCAGGCTGTCACCCTTCCTGTAGACTCCAGATTCGGCCACGCCACCTCCACACCACCCCGGCACAAAGGGCACTGGCCTCAACACAAGGTCAACACACACAGCAGGTACTGGCCACCAGCTCTGCCTCTGCTGTGAGGCAGGGAAGAATGCACTCCTCCCCATGAGCCTCTGTTTCTCCATCTGCAAAGGGGAGATTACAGCCCATTCCTCGCAGAGTGGCTCTGAGAAGCAAACAAATTACCGGTGTGAAAGTGCCCTTTAAGCTGTGGAATACTTACATAAATGTTGGAATCAGTCACTTCTACCATGCCAACAGAGGGGACATTTTACAAAGAGTAAGTCTAGCCACAAATAAGGCAGAGATGATAAAGCAAATTCAGGCATGGGATTGTGCAGCTTGAGGTAGTATGGCACAGTGGTTACAAACAGATGCTAGATCTGGCTTCACATCTCATCTCTGCCACTTACTGGCTGTCTGACTTTATTATTATTATTATTATTTTTTGAGATAGTGTCTCGCTTTGGTGCCCAGGCTGGAGTGCAGTGGCCTGATCTCGGCTCACTACAACCTCTGCCTCCCGGGTTCAAGCAATTCTCCCACCTCAGCCTCCCAAGTAGCTGGGATTACAGACATGTGCCAACACGCCGAGCTAATTTTTGTATTTTTAATAGAGACAGTGTTTCACCATGTTGGCCAGGCTGGTCTCCAACTCCCGACCTTAGGTGATCCACCTTGGCCTCCCAATGTGCTGGGATTACAGGAAGTGCTGGGATTACAGGCATGAACCACCGACCTGACTTTAGACAAGTGACTTAACCTGTCTGTGCCTTGGTTTCCTCATATGTAAAAATGAAAATAGAAGTAGCAGTAGTAGTAGCTACCTCAAAGGACTGTAGTGAGGAGTAAAGTTACATACAAAGCACACAGAACTGCACCTAGCTCAGAGTATGTATAATAAAAGTATTAGCTAATATTACTGTAGTGGAAAACTCCCTTAATTCAAGTGATTGTACCTTTTTTACTCAAATACCTCCTCCTCACCCTGCATCTCCTGTGGCTCCATGAAATCAAGGCCCTGCCCAGAACAGTCTCTGTGCCAAGACAGCTTTTAGCTCACCCACACCACTTTATTTACAGATAAATTCTGACATACAGATGTGGGTTTCAACCTTGGTTCCTGTGTCCTCAACCAAAAGATAAGCTTTTCAGGGGCGGGCACTATCCAGGCCCTGGTTCATCCCTGTATCCACACAGCTCCTGATGGTGGCCTGCATATAGCAATTGCTCAGTCAGCACAGGCCAAATGAAAGCTAGGAAGTCAGAGACGACCACCACCTTTGTCCTGCGGAAAATGCACAACCTTCTGGGCACAGTGGCTCACACCTGTAATCCCAGCACTTTGGGAGGCCAAGGCAGACGGATCACTTGAGCCCAGGAGTTTGAGATCAGCCTGGGCAATAAAAAAATACAAACATTAGTTGGGTGTGCTGGCGTGTGACTATAGTCCCAGCTACTTGAGAGGCTGAGGTGGGAGAATCGCCTGAGCCTGGGAAGTTGAGGCTGCAGTGAGCTGTAATCGTGCCACTCACTCCAGTATGGGGGACAGGAGTGAGATCCTGTCTCAAAAAAAAAAAAAAAAAGAAATAGAAAATACATCACCCCTACCACCACCATCAACCAACCTCACAAAGCCACAGGGTGTGTTGCCGTCAGCCAGCCAGCATGCGAGCTCTGTTGGAAAGTCACACGTCCCAGTTTATTTTCTAGGGCCAAGCCTGGCCTACCCATTCCCCACAGGCCACCACTTCTGGGCTCTCCCAGCACAAGCTAAGCTAATCAGGGGAAGGCTTGACCACAGGCAAGTTAGACCTTGCTGACTGATCAGAAGAAACCACAGCTGTTTCAGATTTGACTTTTAAAGCTAATTTTTATGGGTCAGAAATGCTCTGGGGGCAAAGAGAGGATAGGGTCAAGTCATGGGGGTTAAGCCCTGGGGTAATCAGTCATGTTCTGAGATTGTCAGATTAGAGAGGACAGTCACCTGATCTCCTTCAAGGAAACTTAAGTTCCTTGTTGATCAGGGCCAATGTACCGCCAGTCTCTTCCTCCAAACAGAGCACACACAGCCCGGCAAATCCTTGAAGGGAAGGAATGCTTGGTGTTAGAATGAGAAGACATGACAGTTACAAGACTCACGTTTTGTGCAGCTGTCCCTTGGGATGTGCCAACTCTGTGCTCAGAATTTCTCTATAAAATAACTCAAGTGCTGCATTAACATCTCATTTCTGGAACTCTGAGGCAGATGGGAGACAGAGAAACAGAAAAGCCAGCTCTAGGGCCTCTTCTAGGGACACCAAAGCAAAGGCTGAAAGCGGAGAAATTACAGCAGAGGGATGCAAGAAGAGTAGCATTAAGTAAAGGGGAGGAGGAGACATGTAACATATATTCCAGTAAATATCCAAGCCTCATACTACTTATTTCCATTGAAACCACGGAAAATAGAGGAAGCATATAGGTTTTGAACTCAAGACTGCACTGGTGTGATCCTTGCTCTATCACTTTGCAGCTGTGTGACATTAGGCAAGTCATCAACCTCTCTAAGCCTCAGTTTCTTTATCCGGAATATGGGGATAAGGTAGATGATGGCATCGAAGGCCCTAATTAATGGCTTGCCTGTATCCCTGCCCTTTGCCATGGGACACTGCAGCTCCTCCTCTCTCCTTGAATTGTGGCTGGCCTTATGATTTGCTTTAGTCAACAGAATGCAGCAGAAGGGTCACCATGCCAGTTTCCAACCTCAAGAGACCTTATGCGCTCCTGCTTTTTCTTGGAACCCTGCTGCCGTCATATGAACATGTGCTGGAGGAGGAGAGACCACACGGAACAGAGCTGAATTGTTGCAGCCCAAGGCCATCCTAAACCAGCCCACCAAACACGTAAGAAAGCCTAGCCAGGATCAGCAGGGCTGCATACCCACCCCACCCCCAGTGACTGCAAAGGCATGAGTGAGCCCAACTGAGACTAGAAAAATGACTCAGATATGCAGGCTCTTGGCTATAATAAAACCTTATCGTTTAAAGCAGGGGTTGGAAGCTAGAGCGCACAGGCCAGCTGCCTGTTTTTGTAAATAAAGTTTTATTGGGATACAGCTGTTCCCATTAATTTCCATATTGTCTATGGCTGCTTTCAAGCTACAGTGGCAGAGCTGAAGAGCTACAATAGAGACAGCATGGCCCACAATCAAACCACGGGCGGTTTTGGGGTGATTTGTTATGTAGCAACAGCTAATACAGTACTCAAGCCTCTCCCAGTGGGACAGTGAGGATTAAATGACCGATTAAGTGGTTACTATGAAGCCTGGGGAATGTATTTCCCTTCTGGGGAATCAACCAGGAAAAACTGGATTTGATACGCAGCATTTCTCTCACACTGCTTTCAGGGGATGGGACTTCAAAGGGGAAAGTGTCCCAAGCCAAACCACAGCTATCAAGTGCAACCCTGACCTTTGCCATTAGTGATATTTTAAGAACTGGAGAGTGTGGCTGTTCATCAAATGGGAATGACTGACAACTCATGTTTGACCCCGGCTTCAATCAAGCCCTACATCAATGATTTTATGTGAAACAGGACAAATGATAATTCACAACTCCGCAGCAAGGCACATGGGACTTTCTTCCCTTTGTGGGCTCCAACCTCCTTCTGCAGTCTCCCACCACACCTGCCCTGCTGCCCCCAGCCATCCTCTCCAGCCTCCAGGCCATGGCACAGGCTGCTTTATTCCTTCTGCATGAAAAGCCCTCTTCCCCACTCCCCTGCCTTGGGAATTCCCACTCAGCCTTCTACACTCAGCTCAAGAGTGGCCTTCTGCTGAAGGCCCTCTTTGGCTTCCCAGCCAAGTTCAGGCCCTCCCAACCCTGTGCACACACTTCTGGCATTCCTCGGGTTGTGATATTGTCTCTCTGGTTGTATCTGTCTCCCTGACTAGACCGGGAGAAGCTGGTATTCAACTGCAAACTGAGAAGCTTCCTTTTTGGAAAGTTAGCCACCACTTACTTCTCTCTGAATTCCCTCTGCCTAGCAGGCAGTTTAGAAACTGTTTGCTGGATGTTTTTTTTTTTTTTTTTTTAAAGTTAGACATGATATTATTTATTCTGTAACTATGGAAAAAGTGTTATTTAACTCAACTCTGGATGCTGACAAAATATAAAGTGTTGGTACACATTAGTATGTATTTAAAACCTGGGAAAACTGATGTCATGATGCTCCTGACTTAGTTGTGGTGGAAACAACATTTATTTAATTATAATAAAAGAAACAAGACTTCAGCAGAAAATATAACTGGATGAGACCTGTTTGGCTGCACAAAAGGAGACCTACCAAAGTAACTGGCCTCTTTTGTCATCATTTTTTTTTTTTTTCATAAAGCACAACTTGAAGGAATACTGTGTCTACCTATTCCAGTTTCGTTTTCTCATCCCAGGAGCTCGGGACCTCACCGTCTCTCACCAGAACTACAACTGTCCCCTAACTTTGATCCTATTTTCCCCAGATTTTGGCAGCTGTTTATAGCCTGGATGCCCCTCCACCATGGCTCTGAGTACATCCCTTCCCTGGCTCAACAACCTTCAAGGTCTCCCCTGTGGGGTCCAACTTCAAGCCCCTACCTCTCTCACACTGTCATCTCTCATTCCCCAAACAAGGCCCAGCTGCATGAAAGTGCTGCTTTCCAAGAACAGGCCTCACATTGAGATTTTATACACATACACACACGTCTATGTTCACACACATGTATACACTTACATATACACACCCTGACACATAAGCACTCCTGCAGCGTGCAGTCACCCTCTCCCCTGAGCTGAGATTCCACTTCCAACCCTAGATCCAGCTCAAAGCCACCTTCTAGGTGATGAACTTCCCAAATTCTTCAAGATAAAAACACTGGGAAACAAAGGATGAAATTCCTGTCAATCTCCTCCAGGAGCTCAGGCCAGAGATCATGGACAAGTCTCCTGCATCCTTCACTACCTCCCCTCCTCACTCACACTTGTACCAAGACATCTCTGAGTACAAAGTAAATGCTGGAAAAAGTGGGCTATGTTAGGGGAGAAACCAGTAGAGTAAGGCTAGTTTCTCTTCCAAATAATTCTAAATGGAAAAGTTGGCAGGGTGCCGTGGTTCTCACTTGTAATCCCAGCACTTTGGGAGGCCAAGGCAGGAGGATTGCTTGAGCCCAGGAGCCTGGGCAACACAGAGAGACCTCCTCTCTACAAATAAAAAAAATTAGCCAGGCGTGACAGTACATGGCCCCAGTTACTCAGGAGGCTAAGGCGGGAGGATTGCTTGAGGCTGGGAGGTTGAGGCTGCAGTGAGCCATAACTGCACTCCAGCCTAGGTGACAGAGTGAGACCTCTAACAATAGATAAAGACTAAATGAGGTGCCAGAAGTGGTTTTCCTGGATCCATGAGTGAGGGGCAGAAGGAAGGCCGGATCTACAGTGTGCCTGGCCTCCCAAAAGCTGTCTGGCTGGAAATAATGTGAAAACAACTGCTTCCTGACTGCCTGATGGGGTGGAGGTGGAGGGGTGCTGGCCCAGGATCAGGAGGTAGCCACACACAGATGGCAGAAACAAGGGCATCCAGAGTCTCTGCATCCCAAGGCTGCCCTGACCAGAAGACCCAGAGGGACAGTTAAGGAGAAGCCACTGTTGCATGAGTGGTTTTCAAACCATGGTCCCAGGACCCTCAGCCATTTCCCCTCAACCTGGGAAATGATGGAATGCAAACACTCAGGTCCCCCACCAGGCATGCTCAATCAGACGCTGCAGGATGGGCCCCAGCAATCTGTTGTAACCAGCCCTATAGGTGCACTAAAGTTTGAGGATCGCTGCACTATAACGTCCTGCTGAGCCTCCCTGGCTGCCTCCTCCCTCCTGGGTAGAAAGAACATCTGGACAACTTCTCAAAAGATCAAAGGTCTCGCAGTCACAACCTAGTAGGTGAAAAGTAACCCAGAGAGATCTTCTAAAAAACCATATCTGATCACAACACTCTCGCAGCTAAATCCCTTCACAGGCCCCCTCTGTGCTTAGCCTACAAGGTCCTCCCTGACTCAGGCCCTGCCCAACTCTTAACCTCTCAATTTCAGCCACAAGGGACTTCACCTGCAGTTCCCTGAAGCACAGGGTTCTTCTCCAGCCAACCATGGTGACCACCCCTCCCTCACAATAATGGCCCTGCCTCCAAGGTGCACTCCTCGATGCCACACCCCCCAACCTCTCCCTTGCCCTTCATCCCTCCTGTAACCCTGTAACACGAGGTCTCATCATAGCACTCATCACCATCACGCCACTATGGCCTCTGTCATAGCATTCGCTGCAGAGGGTCCCTGCTCCAGCACCCAGCAGGGGAGGACACAGAGAAGACCCGTAAGAAATATCTGGTGATGAAAAGAGTCAAGTCTTAAATATCTTGACATCCTGGCTATAAAACAAATCATTCCTTAGTGTTTGAAACAGTCTTAACTGTAACTGGGAAAAAATGTTTACTGAAGTTTTGAACCACTAGCAGTGGAAGAGAAAGGAGATCTGCCCACCTGGGGTGTGGCTGCAGGGTAACAAGGAGGATGCATAAAGTCCAGTGCAGTTAGCCGTGACCCTCTCGTGCCTTTTATATACAAGACCTCCAGGTTTCCCCAGTGCCTGCACCAAGCCAAGCTTCAGCCATGCATAAGACTGCACGGAGCCTATCTGGTGTTTCCCTCACTGACCAAACACAGGCCCAGGGTCCTGGTGGCTCCCAGGGAAATCTGCCCCCTCTCCCAAAGCAGCTCCTAGGTAGCCACCTGGCTCCCAGCTAGTCGTCATCTAGGTGTGGCATCCTAGGTGCTTTAGAAACCCAGAGTCCAAGCTTCCGAGGGGTGCCCCAAACTGCCTCCAGGGAGAGGTGGGATCTTCCACGGACTGCCCATGCAGATCAAACAGGGGAGGGGATATTCTGGGGACCTCGGGGAGGGGAGGCCAGGCAGAAAAACTAGAGGGACATTCCCTTCCTCCTCTCTCCTGGCAAACAAAAAAGATCCCTTTCCAAGCACCAGATGGCAGGTAAGAGCCTGTCTCCCTCCTGTCTGGACATCCAGTCCTAAAAGGAACTCAGACTCTTAATCAGTCTCCCCCAGCCCAGGCCTGGGCAAAGGTTTACCTTTGGGGGAAGAAGGTGGGGAGAACAACAGCCACGCACCAGGGCGCTGAGAAGGAAGGAGCTCTCCCACCGGGCCTCAGATTTAATCAAAACACTGCCTTCCACCAGAAGACAGAACAAGTATTATTTTATGGGGGAAGGGAGGGCTTCACAGGAGTGTGAAGGGGGAGGAGGGGACCTAGTCTGGCTGTAATTAACTCGTCTGCTTCAAAGGGAGGAATCTAGGTGGCCTAATGCGTTAGGAAGGGGGCTGTCACAAAGTCCCCCCGTGTTCCTGGGACCTTATGGGGTAGGGGTGAGGTCAGGAAGGAAGCAGGTGAGGATAGGAGGGGTGGGGTCTCCTTCCAGCCGGGCCTGATAGGCTGACCCCCTCCCGCGCGCAGCGGGAGGAACTGACGGGTTCGATGAGGAGCGCTCTTGCAGGCAGCGCATTTCAACCGGAAAAGCACGCGTGGAGGTTCCCGGAGCAGCTCCGGTACCAGGCAGCCCGGATTTGGAAACCTAGAGCTGGGGGTGGGGCAGGGCAGGGCCGGGCAGGGCAGCCGCGAGAGATTTACATATACACGCTGGAGACAGCCGGTCCGGATCTGCCACCAAGAAAGCTGTGTAATATTGGGCGAGTCCCTTCCTTGCTCTGGACCTCAGTTTCCCACCTACAGCGTGAGCGGAGGGTGGAGGCTGGGATAAGGGGTGTCAGGAGTCAAAGCTCTTCGAAGTCCTAGACAGCTCTGACTCTGACTTTACTCCTTGGCAGCCAGAAGGACTGACTGGGTCCGTCTTCCTGGGGCAAGGCTGGGCCGGGCGCTCTCGCTCAGAGGGGACGTTCTGGAAGCAGCGGCGAAAGAGGTGGGGTCAGGAGGCCGCCGGTCCCAGGAAAAGGGCGCGGGAGGAGGCAGAAGCGGGAAGCAGCACGCCAGCCCCGACCCAGGGTCCTAGGCCGAAGCTGAAGTAGAGACTCAACACCAGAGCGGCGGGTGCCTCGGTTTCCCCGTGCGCACCGTGGCTCTGGAACCTCGGGAAGAGGCCAAGGGGCACCTTACCTTGTCCTTCTTGCCGGCCCCGCTCTCCTCCGCGGCTGAGGCGGCGCACTTGTTGAGCAGTTTCTTGCCTCCGCAGGCCGTCGGGCTCCAGGTGCGGCCGCCCGCGCAGGCGCCCCCCAGGGGGTCCCCGGCCCCACCGCCCGCGGCGCTCTCCACTTTGATGAGGCGGTGCTTGGGGGAGATGTAGCGCACCTCGGCCGGCGTGGCGGGCCGCCGCTCGCTGCTGCTGCGGTAGAGATGCGGAGAGCCGGAGGACGAGGACGAGGACGCGGCGGCCCCCGCGCCCGAGGAGGCGCAGCAACAGCCCGCGGCGCCCGACGCGGACGAGGCCGAGAAGGCGCGCTGGACCCCGCCTGGCTCCCCGCTGCCGCCGCAGTAGTCCAGGCGGCACATGGCGCGCAGTTTGCGCAGCGACGAGCCAGGCCCGTTGTAGGGGTCCTCGAAGTCTCGCTCCTTCTGCGCGCGGTAGGCGCGGATGAGGTCGCTGGTGCTGCCGCTGTCGTCGGGCAGCGAGCCCGAAGAGGCTGAGAAGCAGGAGGCGGTGGCCGGACCGCAGGACGCCGAGGCGGCGGAGGAGGCCTGCGGCACGGCCTGGGGGGGCTGCGAAGGCCGCTCGCCTCGGCGCCGCTGCTCGCGGTAGTCTGGCCGCGGCGGCTGCGGGGGGCTCTTGGTCTTGCTGTTGCCCAAGCTGAAGTACTTGTTTAGCCACTTGGCCATGGCGAGAGGCCGCCTAGGGCCGCGGCGCGGGAGCCCGGTCCGCCGCCGCGGCCATTCGGGGGGCAGCGCTGCGGCGCAGGTCCCTCGGCGCCCCGGCCCCGGCGGGGGGCGTCCGGGGCGCCCGCTCCCGACGCCAAGTTCAAGTTCTTGCCGCCGCCGCCTCCTGCCGGCAGCTCTCTGGCTCCGGCGGCTGCAACACCTCCCTCCGCCTAGCGCCGCCCAAGCTAGGAATCTCGCGCCCCTCGTGGGCGCGTCTCATGGGGTCCCGGCCCACGCCCGGGGGAGAGCGGAAGGTCCGAGCGCTCCACGCCGCGGACCCTTTGGCCGTACGCCCCTCGCCGTGGATCGCGCTCCTGCCCCGTCGGAGCCGCAGCCTCCGCCTTGGCCGGGATCCGCGGCTGCCGCGGGAACTTCTCGGCGTCCTCGGCTCCCTTCTTCCTTCCTGCGAGCGCTGGGGAGAGCTCGGCCCCGCAGCGGAGGAGAATGCGGCCGGGAGAGACAGCGAGCGACGGAGGAAGGCAGCCGGCGCCCGCCGGAGCCCGCGCGCCCGTGCCCGTCCCGGCGGCGCCTGTCGCTGCCACTGCCGCCGCCTCCCGAGCCGCCGCGTGTGTGACACTCAGGCCGCCAGAGCCCGCCCCGCGCCGCCGCCCCGCCCCCCCGGAGCCCGCTCGCGCGCCCCGCCCCCCGCCCGCTCCCGCAGACCCAGCACCGCCCATCCCCGCGAGCCTGGCCCCGGGCCGCGGCCCAAGCCCCGCCCCCCTCGCGCCCGGGGCCGGGGTGGGCGCACCTCTCCGCTCCTGCACACGCCACCTCCCGCGGCTGCCCTGGCGCCAGCACCAGGGTCTTGCCCCAGGGCGCTGGGGTCCCGCCGCGCAGCCGGCTCCACCTAGCTTGCAGCTCGCCGCCGCCTCGGGCGAGAGGTTGCCTGGCGGAGCCTGCTACGCGCAGAGGCCAAACCTTTCCGCAGTCCCCCGGGACCCCGCGCGTTGTTCACTCCAGGGATCCCCCTGTCGGGGTTGAGGAGGGAGAGTGGATTAACACGGAACCTGTCTAGTTTACAGCGTGGCCCGTGTGGAGGAAATGCAGTGCCTAGTGCCCTTAGGGACAGAGTGGCTGTCCCTCTTCCTTAAAGGGACAGACTCCGGTTCAGCCCCGTGCGCCAGGTCTTCGGAGGAATCTTTATGCTAATGAGTGTATTAGCAGTCCAGATGACGGATGTGGTCGGGATAGGCGGTGGGAGCCGGGCCCAGCACCAATCCGAGAGCAAGGCTAGGGGAGGTCGGAATGTTTGCTTACCTTTTCACCTCTGAGGAAGTCGAGGCTTTAGCCCTGTTCGCTGCCAGCCGGCGGGGAGCAAGTTGTGGGAACATTTAATGCCTTATGTTGTAGGAGCTGGCAAGGATCCATTTAATACAGGACCTCGGCCGGGTGCGGTGTCTCACGCCTGTAATCCCAGCACTTTGGGAGGCCGAGGCGGGTGGATCACGAGGTCAGGAGTTTAATACCAGCCTGGCCAAGATGGTGAAACCCCGTCTCTACTAAAAATACAAAAATTAGCCGGGTGTGGTGGCGGGTACCTGTAATCCCAGCAGCTACTCGGAAGGCTGAGGCAGAGAATTGCTTGAACCTGGGAGGCAGAGGTTGCAGTGAGCCGAGATCACACCACTTCACTCCAGCCTGGGCGACAGAGGGAGATTCCGTCTCAAAAAATAAATACAGGACCTCATTTTACAGATGGAGAAACTGAGGCCCAGAGGAAAGTCACACAGGTGGACTTGGATGCCAGTTCCTAAGTCGGGTGGCACCATAATTATGTCTTTTCCAAGAGTCTCTTCTTTGCGATTTCAGATCATCCTTTGATTATTAACCAAAATTGAGGAAACAGTCCCAGGGAGTGGCCTGATTTGGTCAGTGTAACTTTTCCTGGGATCTGCACCCAGGGGAGGTGGCATGCTCCCTGTTGAGAGGGAAATGCTGCCTAAAGATGAAGTAGCTGCCACTAGGGCCTGGTGCTGCTTTGAATTTGCCTGGGCAACCCTCAAAATGTGACTTAACTCTAAGATGTGGGCACCTGAGAGCTGAGAAATTCTCTAAGAATGTTGATTTACTAAAACAATAGCCCAAATCAATAATCTGCATTTGCTGTCTGTCTGTTATAGATGTGCTTTGGGGGAGTCTGTTTTTCCCATATCCTGTAGTAACAGTGGGAACTGTGAGGGCAGACAGCAAGGCCAGGGGCTCTTTTGATCACATCATAGTTCTGGCCACGCTGGAAGTAGAGGTCAAACTCAGATTTCAATCTGAGACATTTGGACAGGGAAGGCCTGAGAGCTGTTACTGCTTCCTCTCTGTAACCCACCCAGACTCATGCCTGAGGCCACAGCACAGAAGTGATAGAAGCAGGACTTGAACTCGGTCTTATCCTGAAGCTGACCTCTGTCTGCTCAGCCATACACAGTGGTAAAGTGAAATTGACTTCAAATTTGTTATTCCAGAATCAAGCTATTTGCCCTTTCCCTCCTTGGTCAGACAAAACTGTCATCCTCTGTGGCCAGTTGAATTTTCCAAACCCACTATGTGACGTCTCACAGTCGCAGATACTATCACCAGCTACAGAGCATCTTCATTGCCTGAGATCTATTTACTTAGCATTTCACAGGAAATAATCTAAGGGATGTGTGTGTGTGTGTGTGTGTGTGTGTGTGTGAGAGAGAGAGAGAGAGAGAGAGAGAGAGAGAGAGAGATGTGATGTGTCTGGGGCATGCAGAGAGGACCCAGAAGTTGACCTGGCTAGGATGTTTATTTTGAATATACCTAGACTTAAGTATCTCCGTTACCCTTTAAATTGTTCCTCTGTCGCATTGGCACTTAATTATCTTGCACGTAAGGAGGCCCCAGTAGAAAACCTGAAAGGCAAGGACATCCTTGTTTTAAGCCCCACCTTTCATCCAACCACAAATCCTCCCCAGCTCCCTTCCTTCCCATTTCTACTTCTGGGCTCAGATCCTGGCAATAGGCCAGGCCACCTGAGACAAGAAAGTCCTCACCAGAATCTGGAAGCTTGCTCCCTGCATGTGTCTTGCACATGGAAAGGTTATCTCTGCCTTTTCCAAAAGTTCAGGAAGAGAAGTTATATTTCATAACTTATTTTTTCCATGTCACTTTCATCAGGCCGTAGAGTCGGATCCACTTTTCCATGTGATACCTCTGCTGGGGTATAATTTGCAAGCCAGAATTATTGTAATGCTATAGTATTATGCCAAGAACTTCCAGAGCACTTGTGTATCTGCTCAACCCTTAGACACTCTGTATATAATTAACCCTCCTCAACATCCCTGCAATCTGGTGTTATTCCCAGTTTACAGATGGGGTAGTTGGCCTAAGGTGGTATTTACCTCAAGCAGGCAAAAACCACATGGGTGTTTTCCTTTGGGAGCTTGTAGAGACGACCATCCAAGACTCAGAGTCCGAAATAATCATTCTGAAGGGAAATAGAAAAAGCTTCCTAAGGACTTTGCCAAACGGTTTAGGAAGACAAACACTTGTAGAAGTATTAGAGCATTATAGGAAGTAAGAGCTGGACAGACTCTCTTTTCAGAGATCCAGCCACTCCATTTTACAGAGGGCAAACTGGGACCAGTGAAGGGAAGAGATTAAATCAAGAGGCACAGCTAGGATTGGTCCCCAGTCTCTTGACATCACAAACTCATTATTATGTGATGCTGTAAACTGTGCCCATCATTTTTGGAATTTTTGCTTTTCATGTCCTCCTCCAGTCCCACCCTAGTTTTCTTATTAGAAGGGTTGAGTATGGCCCTGTTTCTGTTTCTGTTCTATCTCAGCTTCTCACCTTAGACCAAGAGCTCCTCAAGCTGCTAGGGGCATGGTGTCTCCTTTGCTGCACCTCCTTCCAGTATCTGGAGGAAGGCTGTGCCACTTGTACAGGTCCAGAAAAATAGTGCCACCACCAACCCAACAGACTCATCTTCTTCTTCTTCTTCTTCTTCTTTTTTTTTTTTGAGACAGAGACTGGCTCTATCACCCAGGCTGGAGTGCAGTGGCACGATCTCCGCTTACTGCAAGCTCAGCCTCCCAGGTTCATGCCATTCTCCTGCCTCAGCCTCCTGAGTGGCTGGGACTACAGGCCCCTGCCACGACGCCCGGCTAATTTTTTTTGTATTTTTTTAGCAGAGACCATGTTAGCCAGGATGGTCTCGATCTCCTGACCTCGTGACGCACCTGCCTCAGCCTCCCAAAGTGCTGGGATTACAGGTGTGAGCCACTGCGCCTGGCCTTTTTTTTTTTGAGACAGAGTTTCACTCTTGTTGCCCAGGCTAGAGTGCAATGGGGTGATGTTGGCTCAACACAACCTCCGCCTCCTGGATTCAAGTGATTCCCCTGCCTCAGCCCCCGAGTAGCTGGGATTACAGGCATGCGCCACCATGCTGGGCTAATTTTGTATTTTTAGTAGAGATGGGGTTTCTCCATGTTGGTCAGGCTGGTCATGAACTCCCGGCCTCAGGTGATCCGCCCACCTTGGCCTCCCAAAGTGCTGGGATTACATGCGTGAGCCACCGCACCCGGCCTCATCTACTTCTTTTAGATAACATTATTCAGTTCTGTCCATTGAATGTTAACGTCAGTCCCCTGTCTGTGTACCAGGCCCTGTAGGATGCAGAGATGATCTGGACCACAGTCTCTCACCAATAATTATACAAGGCAAGATGAGAGAAGTGCAGGACAGAACAAGGGACAAAGAGCTATGGGGCTATAGGGAAGGGAGATTTTAATTATGGGGCGGGGCAGATCATAGTGGGTTCTTAGTAGAGGTGATATCTGGTCTGGGCTTTGAAGAGTGAGTAGCATTATGATATAGTAGAAGTAGACGAGAGAATTCCATGCGGAGAGAGAGAGAGCAACATCGTGAAAGGCATAGAAGCAGGAACATGTGGTAAACCACTTGGGCCATAGTGAGTTGTCAAGTGGAGTGGAGTAGCTGAGAATCTCTGAATGCATGGAATGGTGGGTAAGGGTAGAAAGGTAGGCTGTACCACATCAGGAAGAGTTTTCAATATCAAACTCAGGAGAATTTTTTATCTTGTAGGCAATAGGGAGCCATTGAAGGTCTTTGAGCAAGGAAATTAATTACCTTATGTTTTCTACATTTTATAAAGATTATTTGGGAAGCAGTGTGGAAGTTGTATTTCTTGGGGAGAGACAGAAAGTAGGCAGAGCAGTTAAAGGAATGTTAAGGAACCAGAAAATGGTGCAGAGAACAGTAGTTAATGCACAGAAGGCACTCAGTACTTTTGTTGAATGAATAAATAACGTTGAAGTAGTGAAAGGGTGTTAAGTCATTTTAGAGGACAGACTCTGCCTGACTCTCAAGTCTTTGCCTTTGGGCTACTTAGTGAGTGGTGACCAACCACTTCCCAGTGAAAGGTGATACTGCAGGAAGGAGAAGGTGGTTGACTTGGCATTAGCTACCTGTATAAACAGCTGTGAGGGTCAGGGCACAAGTCTGGACTGGAGGTGTAGATTTGGGAGTTATTAGAACTCAGTAAAGATCTAAAGCAAAAACTTCTGTCATCCATGACCCCTTAGTTCATTCCTACTTTACCCAGCCCGTCGGCAAAGTATATGCAGAATCTGGCCACTACTCACCCCCTCCACTGTTACCATCCTGGACCAAGACTCCTTCATCTCTTGCCTGGATTATTGTGGGAGTCTCTTATCCATCTTCCCTGCTTCCATCTCACCCCAGCAGCCAGTGATCCTGTTAAAAATGGGTGTGATTATGTCTTTCCTCTCTTCACATCCCCCCTGGAATCCTGATTTTCCTAACAGGAAATGCCAAAATTCTTACAGTAGCCCGTAAGGCCTTATATGACTTGGTCCCCTTAAACTCCTAACCTCCTGTTATGCTGTCCTCTCTCTCCTGCTGCAGCCAGGCTGCCTCTTTGCTGTTCTTTGAAGCCTCTAGGCACACTTGTGCCTTCCTTCAGGACTTTATTTAAATGTCACATGCTCAGTGAGGCCTCCCCTGGGCACAGTGTCTAGAACTGCGGTCCCTGCTCAACACTTGCCATCCCTCTTCCTCATTTTATTTTCCCGATAACTCTCTTCCTCATTTCACCTACTGTATATTTTACATATATTTCTTGTTTATTCTTTGTCTTGCCCCACAGCGGGAAAGAGATCTTTGCCCTTTTGTTCACTGCATACCTCCAGTGTCCAGAACAGTGCCTGTAGTCATAGTAGGCACATGATAACTATTTATTGAATGCATGAGTGGATGGAAGCAATTGATATCGTGGAGGGTGGAAGAGCAGAAGGTAACAGCTGGACATCTCCGTCCACTTCAGCTTGCTAGCCTTGGCCTGGAGGTAGGAGCATGTCAGACTTACTATGGTTTAAAATATATATATGTAAGATGTATAACATGATGTCTTGATATACATATACATAGTGAAATAATTTTTACGGTCAAATTAAGCAAGTTAACCTATCATCTCACATAGTGACCTTTTTGTGTGTGTGGTAATGAGAGGTGACAGCGTGCTGGCAGTCCTCGCAGCCCTCCCTCGCTCTCGGCGCCTCCTCTGCCTGGGCTCCCACTTTGGCGGCACTTGAGGAGCCCTTCAGCCCGCCGCTGCACTGTGGGAGCCCCTTCCTGGGTTGGCTGAGGCCAGAGCCGGCTCCGGCTCCCTCAGCTTGCGGGGAGGTGTGGAAGGAGAGGCGTGGGCGGGAACCGGGGCTGCGCGTGGCGCTTGCGGGCCAGCGCGAGTTCCGGGTGGGCGTGGGGTCAGCGGGCCCTGCACTCGGAGCAGCCAGCCGGCCCCGCCGACCCGGGCTTAGCACCTGGGCCAGCAGCTGCTGTGCTCGACTTCTCGCCGGGCCTTAGCTGCCTCCCCGCAGGGCAGGGCTCCCGACCTGCAGCCCGCCATGGCTGAGCCTCCCCCTGCGGCCGTAGGCTCCTGCGCCACCCTAGCCTCCCTGAGGAGTGCCGCCCCCTGCTCCACGGCGCCCAGTCCCATCGACCACCCAAGGGCTGAGGAGTGTGGGCACACGGCGTGGGACTGGCAGGCAGCTCCACCTGCAGCCCCGGGACAGGATCCACTGTGTGAAGCCAACTGGGCTCCTGAGTCTGGTGGGGAACCTTTATGTCTAGCTAAGGGATTGTAAATACACCAATCGGCACTCTGTATCTAGCTCAAGGTTTCTAAACACACCAATCAGCACCCTGTGTCTAGTTCAGGGTTTGTGAATGCATCAATTGACACTCTGTATCTAGCTACTCTGGTGGGGACTTGGAGAACCTTTATGTCTAGCTAAGGGATTGTAAATACACCAATCGGCACTCTGTATCTAGCTTAAGGTTTCTAAACACACCAATCAGCACCCTGTGTCTAGTTCAGGGTTTGTGATTGCACCAATTGACACGCTGTATCTAGCTAATCTGGTGGGGACTTGGAGAACCTTTATGTCTAGCTCAGGGATTGTTAATACACCAATTGGCACTCTGTATCTAGCTCAAGGTTTGTAAAGACACCAATCAGCACCCTGTGTCTAGCTCAGGGTTTGTGAATGCACCAATTGACACTGTATCTAGCTACTCTGGTGGCGACATGGAGAACCTTTGTGTGGACACTCTGTATCTAGCTAATCTAAGGGGGAGGTGGATAACTTTTGTGTCTAGCTCAGGGATTGTAAAGGCACCAATCAGCACCGTGTCAAAACGGACCAATCAGCTCTCTGTAAAATGGACCAATCCGCTCTCTGTAAAATGGACCAATCAGCAGGATGTGGGTGGGGCCAGATAAGAGAATAAAAGCAGGCTGCCCGAGCTAGCAGTAGTAACCTGGTGGGGTCCCTTTTCCTTCTGTGGAAGCTTTGTTCTTTGGCTCTTTGCAATAAATCTTGCTGCTGCTCACTGGGTCCACACTGCACTTATGAGCTGTAACACTCACTGTGAAGGTCTGCAGGTTCACTCCTGTAAACCAGTGAGACCACAAACCCACCAGGAGGAACGAAGAACTCCAGACGAGCCGCTAAGACCTGTAACACTCACCGCGAAGGTCTGCAGCTTCACTCCTGAGCCAGCGAGACCACGAACCCACCAGAAGGAAGAAACTCTGGACACACCACCTTTAAGAACTGTAACACTCACCGCGAGGGTCCGCGGCTTCATTTTTGAAGTCAGTGAGACTAAGAACCCACCAGAAGGAAGAAACTCCCAACACATCCGAACATCAGAAGGAACAAACTCTGAACACACCGTCTTTAAGAACCGTAACATTCACCGCGAGAGTCCGCGGCTTCATTCTTGAAGTCAGTGAGACCAAGAACCCACCAATTTCAGGACACAGTAAGAGCACCTAAGATCTATTCTCTTGGCAAATACCCAGTATCCAACGCAATATTATTAACGAGTCCTCATGCTGTACATTACAGCTCTAGACTTATTTTTTCTACGTATCTGTACGCGTTGACCTATATCTCCCCATTCTCCCCCATCTTGTCCTCTCCCCTCTTCTGGTAACCACCATTCCCCTCTGTTTCTATGTATTCAACTTTCTAAAAACAGATTCTACATACAAGCGAGGTCAAACAGTATTTGTCTTTCTGTATCTGACTTATTTAGTGGAACATCTTCCAGATTAATCCATGTCATTACAAATGGCAGTATCTCCTTTTCTAAAGCTGGATAGTGTCCCATTGTGTGTACATCATTTTTTTAAAATTTATTTATTTTTGAGGCAGGGTCTCGCTCTGTCACCCAGGCTGGAGTACAGTGGCATGATCTTGGCTCACTGCAGCCACAACCTCCCAGCCTGAAGTGATCCTCTCACCTCAGCCTCCTGCGTAGCTGGGACTACAGTTGTGTGCCACCATGCCTGGCCAACTTTTTAAGTTTTTTGTAGAGACTTTTGTAAAGTTTTTGCCATGTTGTCCAGGCTTGTTTCGAACTCCTAGGCTCAAGTGATCTGCCCACCTTGGCCTCCCAAAGTGCTGGGATTATAGGCGTGAGCCACTGCACTCAGCATATTTTTAATTTTAATGGGTACATAGTAAGTGTATGTATTTATGGGGTATATGAGATATTTCAATACAGGCATGCAATGTGTAATAATCACATCAGAGTAAATGGAGTATCCACCACAATTTTTTAACCCATTCACCCATTGAGTGAATGTTAGGTTAATTCTGTATCTTGGCTATTGTGAAAGCTGCTGCAATGGAAGTTCACCATCTCTATGAGATGCTGATTTCATTTTCTTTGGGTATATACCCAGAAGAGAGTTTACTGGGTCATATGGCAGTTCTAGTTTTAATTTTTTTGAGGAAACTCCATACTGTTTTCCATAATGCCTGCACTAATTTACATTCCCATCAACAGTGTGCAGAGGTTCCCTTTTCTCCACACCCTCACCTACACTTGTTATCTCTTGTCTCTTTGATAACAGCCCTCCTAAGAGGTGGGAGGTGGTATCTCATTGTGGTTTTAATTTGCATTTCCCTGTTGATTAGTGATGTTGAGCACCTTTCCTATATATCATGGCTATTTTATATGTCTTTGTTGGGAGAAATGTCCATTTAGGTCCTTTTGCCCATTTTAATTTAATTTTTTTTTTTTTTTTTTTTTTTTTTTTGGAGATGGAGTCATGCTTTGTCACCCAGGCTGGAGTGCAGTGGTGCAATCTCAGCTCACTGCAACCTCTGCTTCCCAGGTTCAAGCAATTATCCTGCCTCGGCCTCCCAAGTAGCTGGGATTACGGCACCTGCTACCACACCCAGCTAATTTTTGTATTTTTAATAGAGACGAGGTTTCACCATGTTGACCAGGCTGGTCTTGAATGCTGAACTCAGGTGATCCTGAGTTCTGCTTTGGCTTACCAAACGGCTGCGATTACAGGCATGAGCCACTGCGCCCAGCCCTTTGCCCATTTTTTAATTGAGTTATTTAATAATTAAAAGAAAAGCCAGGCGCGGTGACTCACACCTGTAATCCCAGCACTTTGGGAGGCCGAGGCAGGTGGATCGCAAGGTCAGGAGTTCGAGACCAGCTTGGCCAAGATGGTGAAACCCCATCTCTACTAAAAATACAAAAAAGTAGCCGGGCGTGGTGGGTGCCTGTAATCCCAGCTACTCAGGAGGCTGAGGCACAGAATTGCTTGAATCCAGGAGGTGGAGGTTGCAGTGAGCCGAGATCGTGCCACTGCACTCCAGCCTGGGTGACAGAGCAAGACTCCATCTCAAAACAAACAAAAAACCCTTTTGCTATTGAGTTGTGTGAGTTTCTTACATCTTTTAAATATTAATCCCTTATCAGATATGTGGTTTGCAAATGTTTCCTCCCAATCTTTAGGCTGCCGATTCATTTTGTTGATTGTTTCCTTTGTTATGCAGAAGCTTTTTAACTTGATGTAGTTCCACTTGTTTATTTTTGTTTTCATTGTCTATGCTTTTGGTGTGATACCCCAAAAAAATCATTGCCAAGGCCAGTGTCAAGGAGCTCTTCTTTCGTGTTTTTTTTCTAGGAGTTTTACAGCTTTGGGTCTTTCATTTAGGTCTTTGATTCATATTGAGTTGATTTTTGTGTCTGGTGTAAGGTCAGGGTCCAATTTTATTATTTTCCATGTGAAAATCCAATTTTCCCAATATCATTTATTGAAAAGACTGTCCTTTCCCCATTGTGTGTTCTTGGTGCCCATGTTGAAAATTAGTTGACCATATATACTCGGGTTTATTTCTGGGCTCTATTCTTTCCGTTGGTCTATATGTCTGTTTTTATGCCAGAGCCATACTGTGTTGACTTGCTGTACTTTTGAAGCACATGCATTCTGGGGTTCTGTTCCCAGATCTCTTAAATTGAGGAAGCAGAACATGACTCATCCCTGCCTTCCTGGCATCCGGAGGGGGCTCCAGGAAAGTTGTGGCATCCAGTTAGCCGCTTCCACGTGAGTCCCAGTCCTGCTGACATGTAAGCCTGTCCCCAGTGTCGCTGAGCCAGCTGCTGTTCTCTCCACATCAGGTACAACTAATCTTAGGAATCTCATTACGGGTCGAGAAATAATCCTCTATATCTAGATTAAAGTCTGTGTTTTGACCATTACCGCGCACTGAGCATTGAGCCAACAGTTTAATTGAGCTGTTTATGCCGCTGCCTTGATCTCTTCCCAGAGAATTTACAGCTAATTCCAAGTGTCTCTGTGAATTAAGTGGGCCTCTCCCAACATGCTTTGCCCGGTGTTTGCCTGTTTCAAATCCCACTTGTCCTTGTGTTACCCAATGATGGGCTCTCACTCACAGCTGTCTCTGACCCTGCCGCTTACAGCCCACTTCCTCCCTGAGGTGGCCATTAATGATATGGTCCCAGAATGGCCATAACCCAGGATAGCTTCTGTTAATACCTACAGCAATAGAAAGGGGGGTGGAGGTGAGGATGGGGTGGAGCAGAGAGGTCATAAATTATGACCTCAGTGACCCCTTTGAAATCACCTCCAGGTGACTAACAGTCACCTCTAGCAAGAGGGTACATGCCTTTAGCGAAGTTAAGTGTAATGGAAGCAAAGAGTTCCAGTCTGGGGTCAAGACTCCTGAGTTCTTACCTGACATCCTCTGTGATCTCTGGGGCTACAGTTTCCCTGTTTGCAAAACGGGAGCTGGCAGATCATTGTTTTCCATTCAGGATAGTAGAGGTGTCTTAGGATAGGGCTGCCATATTTAGAAAAAACAAAACAGGCTGGGCATGGTGGCTCATGCCTAGCACTTTGGAAAGCCAGGGCAAAGAGGATTGCTTGAGCCCAGCAATTGGAGACCACCCTGGGCAACATAGTGAGACCTGGTCTCTACAAAAAAATAAAATTATGCTGGGTGCTCATGCCTGTAATCCCAGCACTTTGGGAATCTGAGGCAGGCAGATTGTTTGAGGTCAGGAGTTCAAGACCAGCCTGTCCAACATGGTGAAATCCTGTCTTTACAAAAAAAAACACAAAAATAAGCCAGGCGTGGTGGTGGGTATCTGTAACCCCAGCTACTTGGGAGGCTGAGGCAGGAGAATCGCTTGAACCCAGAGGTGGAGGTTGCAGTGAGCCAAGATCGCACCATGCACTCTGTCCTGGGTGACGACAGAGCAAGACTCCTAAAAAAAAAAAAATAAATAAATAAAAAAATTAGCTGGACATGGTTGTGCAAGCCTGTAGTCCCAGCTATTCAAGAGGCTGAGATGGGAGGATCACTTGAGCCTGGGAGGTTGAGGCTGCAGTGAGACATGATTGTGCCACTGCACTCTAGCTTGGGTGACAGAGGGAGACTCTGTCTCAAAAACAACAACAAAGGACATCCATGCAATAGTTGGGACATACTTATAGCTAATTCTTATTTATTTACCAGAAATCCAAGTATAACTGAATGCTGTATATTTTCTCTGGTGACCTTACTCAAGGGGCTGTGTACGCAGGGCCCTGATCTACAGGTGGGTGCTAAGAGAGCAAATGAGTTGAATTGCTTTGTAGCGATGCATCTTAATGGTCAAACTGCCTGCATCTGGCAAGTGCAGCATAGATTATGGAGGCTGCAAATCCACTGAGTGCAGTGGCTTTTTCAGTCCCAAACTTCAGACTGATAGCCGTCTTGAAGGCCACCACTGGAACCTGGGGCTTATTGGCAATAGGTCAAGTTAGGCCCATAAGAGTCAGAAGTACACAGGGGCATGTAGGGGCAGAAAGGTCTGGGTCAGAGAGCCTGAAGGTCTGGCAGAAGGATCTGTGGAGCTTGTAGGCAAGGAGGAAGTGAACGTGGGGAGAAAGGAAATCAGGCCTGGTCAGAGGACATCACAGGTCAGCCAGGTGCCAAGGAGTCCCCGTGTTCTAAGGGTGCCGGCAGAGAGAGAATATCTGCGGATATCTGCAGGGCTGGGTGGGCGGTCAGACCTTGAGGCTGTGCTTGCTTTGCTTCAGAAGCAAGTGGTGATCAAGAACACAGCAGTGTTTTTCTGCAACTGAGGAGGACTTAAATACTACGTGCCCACCAGCACCTTTAGGTTTTCTTCTATGGGGGATTAGCTTTGGGATTACCAGGTGCCCAGGATGTGTGATCCTCCTCTTCTTGAGAGAGGTCTGGAGACCAGGCAGCAGGGGCTGTGCATTATTTACTTCTGCCCACCCTGGTGGGTGGCCGAGTGCCTGCCAAGTGTTAGCCCCAGTGACTGTGTATGGGATTGAATCCAACAGACATTCACTGAGTCACAGTTCTTAAATCTCAGTTATTACCTCCGGCCTTAAACCACACCACCATGTGTAAAAGGGCACCTTTATCTTTGTAGAATCATTGCAGACTCTCCTCCTGCTGGCTGTGTCCATCTCTCCCTCCCTTCCACATCTTCCTGCAGAGCATCCTGTCTGTGCACAGAAGTCCAGATGTTAGACCCACCCAGCTCCTGGACCTGGGCTTTGTATACTGACGGTAACAATTGAAACAAAAGACATACCAGGCACTGTGGCTCACGCCTATAATCCTAGCAGTTTGGGAGGCCAAGGTGGGTGGATTGCTTGAGTCCGGGAGTTCGAGACCAGCCTGGGCAGCATGGCAAAACCCCATCTCTACAAAAAATACAAAATAAAATATTAGCCAGGCATGGTGACGTGTGCCTGTGGTCCCAGCTACTTGGGAGGCTGAGGTGGGAGGATTGCTTGAGCCCAGGAGGTCGAGGCTGCTGTGAGCCATGATTGTGCCACTGCACTCCAGCCTGGCCTGGGTGACAGAGTGAGACCCTGTCTCAAAAAAAAAAGGACATAAAGGCATTAAACATTGAAACCACCAAGATTAAATTTACCTGGGTTTACTTGTGAGTGACTTTATGTGCTAGGGTGCCAGGAAAACACCCTAAATCTGAAGAGTTTAATCCAATTTTCCTCTTTGTCAAACTAAACTTGGGTGTTCCTGAAAAGATGAAATATTACTTGAAGCCCTGCAGTTGGGAAAGTGGTTGATTTCTTCAGTGTTAAACCACACCAAAAAATGTTCTGATGCAATTTCCAGCCTCTCACTTTGGCTGTAATATTTAAAGGCAATTTTTAAAAGTCACTTTCCATGCATAATTTTCTCCCACTACACTTTGTTATTTTTTTTTCTCGAATTGAAATGGTTACCATGCTGCCATCTGAGGCTTTGCTAAGTGGGATGCATTGGTCTTTGCCAGAGCCAAGAAAGAGTTAAAGTTGCAAATGGCCGTCTGTCATCTTTCTCAGTCTGGGGATGGGGGTGGATATCGCCCAATTGTCTGTCCTTTTCTTCCCCTCCCTAGGGCTGAGTGCGGGATATCAAGTCTCCTAAAATAGCTCAGACCCTGTGGGGAGATGCCTGCCCTGAGCAGGAGCTAGCTTGGCATGGAGGATTCTCAGAGTTGGAAGGGAATGTTCCTGGCCAAATGGTCTGATCTCTTGGGCTGGAAGAGAGAGGAAGGAGCTCAGTAACCTTCCAAACCAAACATCCACTAACAAGCTCTTTCAGGGCCCTCAGGGAACCCAGATGACTGCTGTCATCTTCCTTCACCTAAGTGGCATCCGACAGAGCATCCACCCCCACAGAGTCCTCTGAGGCTGCTGGGCACAGTGCAGAGAGGCACTGGCAGATCTGGAGCAGAATCTAAGTGAGCATCTCCTCATTAGGATTTCTGGATCTCTTAGGATTTACAAGATACTATAGAATCATTGCGTATTGCAAATGTCTGAAGGAGAGAACTGTTGGTTTTTGTGGTTTTCCAGAGTCGTGGTGGGTGGAGGGGCTTCTTCTGCCCAGGCCTTCGAGCCCACTCTGATCCTTTCAGTCTTAAGATGCAATGATTGTTTGGGGGCTCTAGACTATGGACCTCCTCACTCCAAGGCTGGGCAGTGTCTCATTTGCACACTTTGAGTCAGGAGCTGGCGCAGGCCAGAGAGAAGCACTGCTTTCTTCCTAAGCCTCATGCTTTTATCTTTCTTTTTTTTTTGAGATGGAGTTTCGCTCTTGTTTCCCAGGCTGGAGTGCAATGGCACGATCTCGGCTCACTGCAACCTCCACCTCCTGGGTTCAAGTGATTCTCCTGCTGCAGCCTCCCGAGTGGCTGGGATTACAGGTGCCCACCACCACACCTGACTAATTTTTGTATATTTAGTAGAGATGGGGTTTCACCATGTTGGCCATGCTTGTCTTGAACTCCTGACCTCAGGTGATCCACCCGCCTTGGCCTCCCAAAGTGTTGGAATTACAGGTATGAGCCACCGTGCCAGGCCCGGTTTTATCTTTATGTACAAGTCGATTTGTATTTCTGTTTGCTCCTATTGACAGACATTTTTGTGGTAGGTATAGCCTTTGCATGTTATTATTAGGCACTCACCACAGGAATTTACTCCTCCAGTGGACCAGTTTTGCAATAAGGTAGCACATCTCCCACAGCCACAGTGCAGGTCAGGGGCACTCAGACTCGACTGTGCCTCGGAGCCACATAGACATCAGTGTTAGCATGGACACTCCCATGGCCACTCCAGGGAAGCTGACTCAACAGAGCTGAGTGGGGCTCAGGAATCTGAGCCACAGCCGATTCTGTTGCCAATGGGCTGAGGGACCCCACTTTGAGAAACTCTGGTTTGTGTCTGAGTTCTCATCTGTGATATTAACCAGCAAATTGTGGGTGACAAAATCTGGGATGGAGGCATTTTTGACTTTTGGCTGGTCGATGTCCCCAGCCAAAAGTCTGACATTCAGAGGATTGGCCAGCCTGCATCACAGGTAGGCAGGCAGGCTGCAGTCAGTGTCCCTGCAGGGGCGTCACGTCTCCATTGTGTGCCCTGCAGGATCCATAGTTTTTCTTATTTATCCTGAGCTAATCTCCCTCAGTGCCCAGTTGAATGGATTCTGCAGATGAAATGGGGATTAGGAAGGAGGAAGGGAAGAGAACAAATATGAACAGTGAGAACACTGTGCTAGATGCTGAGCTCCCGGCTTCACACCGATTGTGTCTGACATCACCCCCACAGAAGCACAGTGGGTTGGCATTACTGCGCACTTCTCCAGCTGAGGGCTCAGAGGTCCCACGGCTAGGAAGTGGCAGACGCTTTGTTGCAAACTCAGGCATGTTCAACTTAAAGGCCTTCCTCTTTTTTCCTTTCTCTCCCTTGCAGGGGTGGGGCAATGGATACATTTAAGGTTTTTTCCCTCATTTTTATTTTGAAAAATTTCAGACTATGGAAAGATTGTATGGTAACCCCCCTGGACCCTTTAATGGTTAGCATTCTGCCACATCTGCATTCTCTCTGTCTACCTTACCCAGCTACCTAACTAATTTTGCTAATCCATCTGAGAATTACTTGGGAACATTGTGTTGATTTACTTCTAAATATTTCAGTTTATCTCCAAGGAACAAGGGCATTTTCCCACAGAACCATAATACAATGATTACACTTGGGAAATTTCACATCAATACATTACCATTTAACGGGTATCTGGCTTATTTTCCCAATTGTTTACAAAATGTTTCTTATAGTATTTTTTTTTTTATTTAGGATTCAATCCAGGATCACTTACTGCATTTACTTGTCAAGTCTCTTGAGTCTCTTTTCATCTCAAAGAGTATTTCAGTCTTTTTTGTTTTTGGTCTTTTATAACATTGACGTTTTTTAAGGAGATCAGGCCAGTTGTTTTACAGAATATCTGTCAATTTGGATTTGACTGGTCATTCCCTCTTAAGAGCTTCATGTCAGGGGGACAGAGGCTCTACTCTTCTGATTATCTGCCACTGCCTCTTACCAGGTGAGGATGGAGCGTGGCTGTTTGTTGTTAAAAGGCCCGGAGTGGGAAAAAAAGCAGCCCAGTTTGGTGGGATGAATGTACGCTGTGAAGGGCAGCAGAGGAGAGCTCAAGTTCTGGCTCATGTCCCTGGCCGATTGACCTTGAGCCTATCAAAGAATATTCCTAGAACCTGGTTTTCCTCTTTGTAAATATAGATGGTTTTGGCCTTGCAGGATTATAACAAATATAAGTAAAGAACCTAGCACGTCACCTGATGCATAATCATAACTTCATAAATGGCAGCCACTATTAAGTCCTTAATTACAATATACCAAAATATCCTGCTTTTTCTTCCAACACACCTGTCAAATACACCCTTTTCTGTACTTTCCCATTTCCCCATTCTAGGGCACTTCTATTGCTACTGCCTCCTTTCTGTTGCCCTCATCCTTATCTGTCCCATACATGCCACCATGGGTTGTCCTAAAATGTGGCCCTTGTCATCATATTCACCTGGCTTCCTTTTTCCCCAGCACATCGAGTCTGTCTGGCACTCAGCACCCTTCATGGTCTTACCTCGTCCCCTACCTGAACATTTCTTCGACTATTTGCTCTTGATTTGGCTCCTAGGATTTTCTCCCTGACTTCCCTCATTCCCCATACTCCCACACAAGGTGCATGCATAAATCACCTGGGGTATAGTCACAAACAGAAACCACTCTAGGCCTTCCATGTGGAAAGGGATTTAATGAAGGCAATCAGGTGCTTGGAAAATCTGGACAAACAAAACTCAAAAGACAGTCTGGACAAGCCAAGGTCAAGGAAGGCCACTGGTTTTGTCACTAGCTTTCACAGATAGGGAATTTGAAGGAACTCGGAAAACTACTAGGGATGATCTCAGTTGCCTCCAATCCCAAGGCCTGAGATTTTCAGGAAAGTACCTAGAAGCTGCTGGAAAATGCCATGTCTGCCTAAGCCCAAAGTTTGACATTGCCAGAGGGGCAAAAATCTGGCTTCTGCCTTCTTTCTACCTTCTAGATCTTGGCAAGTGCTTCTCATGGGTGTTTTTCGATGCAGGACTCTGAAGACAGGGATTCTGGAACATGTAGTTCCCAGGCTTCTAGCTCCTGTGATCCAGGGGAGAGAAGAGAAGTGGGGTGCTGGTCAAGGAAAGGCTTTCCTTGGAGACAAGTGGAGAAGACATTTTCTTACTATTTCTTAGGGTCACAGCTGGAAGGATGTGAAACTGGTTGCCTTGGAAGCCATTATCCCTGACACTTAGAGGAAGCCCAGCTGTGGGAGGAGAGAATGAGGCCCCCAAACAGTGAAAAGCAGAGCAAAAGACAGAGCTGAAAAAGAGAGCACACTGATTATATTGTGCCAGCCCTGGATTTGAAGGCTTACTTTATGCAGTGTTCTCCATGTCCTTCTCAGTTATATCCATCCATACATTTCTTTTTCACTGTAGCTAATTTCAGTTAGATTTCTGTTACTTGCAGCCAAGAGGGTCTTAATGAATAGCAGAAGGGAGAGCATGTAAACATTGCAGAGTCAGAGTGTGGTGTGTGCTTTGCAAAAAGAACTAACAAAGGAATCTGAGCACCTAGAGAAGATAATAAGAAAGAGTTCAGCCAGGTGCGGTGGCTCATGCTTGTAATCCCAGCACTTTGGGAGGCCAAGGTGGGGGCAGATCACCTGGGGTCAGGAGTTCGAGACCAGTCTGGCCAGCCCATCTCTACTGAAAATACAAAAATGAGCTGGGCGTGGTGGTGTACACCTGCAATCCCAGCTGCTCGGGAGGCTGAGGCAGGAAAATCGCTTGAACCTGGGAGGTGGAGGTTGCAGTGAGCCAAAATTGCACCACTGCACTCCAGCCTGCATGACAGGAGCGAGACTCCATCTCAAAAAAAAAAAAAAAAAAAAAAGTTCATCTCCATTTTATCTTTTTCCTTGGAAATACTATTTAAACCATAATTCTACCTTAGTTATTACTTATTTTTAATTTATTTTATTTTTTGAGACAGGGTCTCACTTTATTGCCCAGGCTGCAGTGCAGTGGTATGATCTTGCCTCACTGCAGCTTTGACTTCCCCAGGCTGAAGTGATCCTCTTGCCTCAGCCCCCAAAGTAGCTGGGACCACAGGTGTATGCCACGACGCCCGGCTAATTTTTTGTATCTTTGGTGTAGACAGGGTTTCCCCATGTTGCTCAGGCTGTTAGTTATTGCTTCTCATGGGTTTTGTTTTCTTCCAGAATTCTCTTCTTCCTTTCCTTCTGTTTTCAAAAGACTTCCTGTCTCCCAAAGACCAATTTGATTATTTTCTCGCTGGGACCTCCACAGCTACATTACCCCATTTCTTAATTCTTGAAGTTCTTGGCACAGTCTAATTTGAACCACAAATTATTAAATTTTTGATGAGTGCTTCAGCTGCCCTTTATTGGCTGTAACTTCCCGCCATGGACTGCATCCTCATCCACAGATTGATCGCCTTTGACTGGTGCTCAAGAATCCTTGGGAGTTGATGGACTGATGAATCAAACGGGGAGTCTGAGGCTGCCATGGACAATTAAATGGGAGAGCAGGAGTGGAGAAGAGTTAGTGCTGCCCAAGTAACGGTCATCCAGGAATAAGGAAGCCTTTTGAGAAATAATAATCAAGCTGGCTCAAATGCACTTGGCACACATGGGGTGGACCCTGAGTCCCAGGTGGTGCACCTCTCCGAGTGGCCACAAGGGGGCGAGAGAGGGCATGGTCCAGGTGCCAAAATATTGCTGTGGCTGTGGGGTCAGCCAGCTGGCTGGTCCGCTAGTTGAGCCCTGGCTGGAAGGGGAATCTTGGCCTAGGTGATTTGCACAGGATAAAGTGGGCCTCCAACCAGAAGGCCTAGGAAGCAGCGTGCCTGGACCAAGGTTAGGAAAGCCCAAGGATGAACAGACGGATGGCAAACATTGATAAACATCTAAGAATAGGAGCTAGAATCTCCAAAATTAAACCAGCAAGTGAATGTCCAGTGACCCACATATTCTGCTAAGGATGGGGGATGACTCAGTGTCCTGGAGAAGGAAGCAGGAAGCCCAGGCATAGTACAGTGGCAAGGACTGAGTCTGGGAGGCAGGGGTCTGGAGTCTGATCTCTAACCTTGTAGTTCCTCAATCCTGTGTCTATGGCCCCTGATGAAAGCTCGTACTGTGTGTCCTTAGGTGATGACCTCTCCCTCTCTGAGCCTCAGGTGTCTCATCTTACCAAATAAGTTTGATGTCTGGAGACTGAGAGACCAGCCCCACCCTTGCACTGGGCACCATGATGACCAGGGTTCCTTTCAGTTTCAATGGTCTCTGAGTGACATGAACAAAACAGTTAGTTGGCTGCAAAGACCATGTCTTTCTCACTTCTGCCTGTGTACACCTGCTTTCTTTACAACTTTTGAGGAGGCCCTGGTCCTTTGGGACCAGGATTGTTCAGACCTTTGTAGAAGCTGAGCAGTATAATTTCTAGATGCACTGACCCATGACATAGCACACACCAAAATGCCCCCACATCCCACTGGAAATGCAATTCATTTTCTCTAAAATAGTTTTTGGGGGCATTTTAATAATTTTACTTTGAGGATTATTTTGCTAATTTTATTTTCAATGGCTGTGGTTTCTTAGAAATCATTGTGCATAGTTAGGAATTCCTTGAAGTGAAAGAATCTGCTAATTCTTTTCAAATATAAAAAAATTTACAGATACTAAGTATAACGATGTATAGAGTTGATGTAACACAGAATTTCAGGGCATTTCATTACATTTTGACTGTGGAATTTTCATTTTGTAACTTGGAGTCAATGAGAATTTTTGTAGTGCATGAAACATTTTTCGAGGCTCTTGAGAAGCTCGTAGGTCCTCTGTCCTCTGTCTGTGGCACCTGATGGGAAAAATCCTCCTGCTTGAGGCAGCTGAGTTGAAGTGGGGGGTCATTTCTTACCATTATTAGTTTTTGTCTCATGTCTTCTGGCCTGAGAGCCTGTGCAAGCTTTGAGTGTATCAACAAGTAAAGAACACCCCCTTTCACTTTCCTTTAATCTCAGAAACTTCATTTCAACATCTGTCTTTCAACTAAGCCATCATATAGGCAGGCATCAGGGTAGCAGAATCCCCCCAGCCCCAGGGATTTTCCTAAAGCTTGTCTCTCCCCAGTGCTCTCAGGCATACCGCAGTCAAACCAGACATCATCCCCATTGTCAGGGTTCTACAGAAATAGATATCCCACAAAGGGCAGTATCTTGCCTGAGAATTTGTTTTCTCTTGCTGATAATTCCTCTCCATAAACATTTTTGAGAAAGATGAATAGGTGTACCTTTCTGGAACAGTGAATGGATGCTGGGGGGTGAAATGACTCTGCATGGCATGTTTTATGGATGAGGGGAGGGTCCTGAGGACTGCCTTTCATGTCCTCAGCCTCTGACTTGGTTGCAGATTGCCCAGCCTACTCTTCTGTAGGTGAAGGTTTAGCAGCTGCTTCTCTCACTGCTGATAACCTCTGGAAGGCCCAGCCTGGGTGGAAGCTAGACACGCCCCAAGAGTTGGCACAAAATGCCACCAGCCTGTAGCAGCTCTGGGCCCACCCTGAAGACCTGGTTATCTCATTGCACCTCACAGCCAGTGCTGTAGGCTTCAGACACTCCATTCTGCTGGATCCCCCCTGCCTGCCTCTCTTCCCAACAGCCATGAAGGTAATGAATTCCTTCCCATCATGATGTTAATGAATCTCAAAGGGGGAAAAAAAGGAGATAAGATCTCAGAAATAAAGACGCCAACATAAAAACGGAAGACACAGTGACCTTCAACAGGATGAACAAATTTGAGATTTTTCCATTCATCTCTGCCTGGGGGATGGGGACGGTGACCGTTAATAACAAAGTGACACCAAGTGATTTGCTGACAGTTCATAAAGGTCCCCGTGAAGCCCAGAGTCAAGAATGCCAAATGACTCATGAAGGTAGCAAACCAGAAATGGGGTTGGCGGGGGGGGGAACCCTGAACTGCGACCTAGGTCGCAGGTTTCAAAGCAGGTTTATTCTCACCCCAGGATAGGGCTGCCAGAATTAGCAAATAAAAACATAGGATGCACGGTTATATTATATTTGAGTTTTAGGTAAGCAGTGTTTTTTTTTTTTTTGTATATTTGGGACATATTTGTACTGAAAATTTATTTGAAATTCAAACTTGGCATCCTGCATTTTCTCTGGCAACCCTAACCCAGGGGCATAGCACTTCTCATTTCCCGAGTATGTACACATTTCCAGGCTCAACTTCCACCAGGAAGAGGCTCCCTCCAGCTTTTTATATCTTAGTTTCTTGAATCTTACACTGACTTATAGGTCCAGCTTACAGGCCATGTTTTTGAGAAGACGTTCCCCCAACAAATCATTTCTTCCTTTCTCTCTGCCCTCTTGCCCACTGTGTTTTGCTTATTTTCCTATTTTGGTTTACATTTAGTTGCATGTAAGTCTGTTTCCCACACTAGATTGGGAGCAAATCAAGGGCAAGGACTGTATCTAGATTCTTTTTCTTCATTGCCCCCAATATAGTTTCACCCGTGCCTGACGTGCATACTTTGTGAATGTTTGCTGACTGAATGAGTGAGTGATCAAAGCTAACATGCTTTGAGTGCTGACTATGTGCCAGGCATGGATTTAAGTCCTTTAATGTTCTAGTAACACTTTGAGGTAAGCGTCATTTTAATTTCCATTTTAGGGATGGAGAAATGGAGGCACAGAGAAGTAACTTGCTTAAGGTCAAGGGCAGAGCTGGGACTTGAACTCAGGCAGTGTGGCTGCAGAGTCTGTGCTCTTAAACTCTGTAATAGATCAAATGGATGAATGAATGAACAGAAGAATGAGTGGGAGAATAAATGAAAAAATTCACGAGCAGAGGTGGCAAATGGTAGTAAGATCAGGGAGATACAAGAGGTAGGAGCCAAGGTAAGTAATAGGACATCAGAGGCTGGCGGAATCAGAGTGAAACCAAGAAGACAAGCTGAGTGACCTGAACATGAGAGGCAGCCCAGCAGCAGGAACGGCTCATCTCTGGTTCCTCTTTCTGCTTTGGAAATTAATCCTTGGGCCCCAACTGATCTATGACTCTGCAGGAGCCTGACTGTAACTCTTCCTAGCTTTCTGTCTCTCAGCCCTCCACTTCCCGGAGCGGACTCCAACCCCTCTTCTCTTAAAAGGCTCAGACCTGCTGAGCTCTGAGGCCAACGCTGTCTTTCCTTGGGGGTGCTCACTTAGGAGTTACAGGGCATCCACAGGAAGTCAGCTTGGTGTCAGGGCCCTCCCTGTTCTTGGGCCATGGCCACTCCATGTCTAGTGGACCTCTGTCTGGCTCCTGCTGTAGGTGTCACATTGAAGGAAACAATGGGATCAACAGAGGGTGACCACAGGCTGCCTGCTAATCAGATCACTGCCAGGGTTATTATAGAAATGCATTTAAGCCCATGGAAACAGACAATGGCCTGCTTATGTCTTCAACCTATTCTTTTTATTTATAAAGTTGTGGTTTAAAAAACCCCACATAACATAAAATTGACCATCTTACCATGTTTCTTTTCATTTTTTTTTTTTGAGAAGGGATCTCTCTGTCACTCAGGCTGGAGGGCAGTGGTGACCTCAGCTCTTTGTGACCTCTGCCTCCCAGGCTCAAGCAGTCATCCACCTCAGCCTCCTGAGTAGCTGGGACCAGAGGCCTGTGCCACCACGCCCAGCTAAATTCTTGTATTTTTGGTAGAGACAGGGTTTTGCCATATTGGCCAGGCTGGTCTCAAACACCTGGACTCAAGCAATCCACCTGCCTTGGCCTCCCAAAGTGCTGGGATTATAGGCGTGAGAAACCGTGCCCGGCTGTTTTAACATTTTTATGTGTACAGTTCAGTCATGTTAAATATACTCACATTGTTGTGAAGCAGCACTCCAGAAGGCTTTTGTCTTGCAAAACTGAAACCTATACCCGTTAAACAATAACTACTCTCACCTCCTCCCTCCAGCCCCTGGTAACTACCGCTCTACTTTGTGTTTCTATGAATTTGATGATTTTAGATACCTCATATAAGTGGAATCATGCAGTATATGTATTTTTGTGACTGGCTTATTTCTTACTGTAATGTACTCAAGGTTCATCCATGTGAAGCATGTATCAGAATTTCATTCCTCTTTAAGGGTGAATAATATTCCATAATATGGATATGCATTGTCTTCATTCCTCTGTCAGTGTCGAGTTGTTCCCATCTCTTGGCTATTGTGAATAATGCTGCAGTAAACATGGGTTTGTGCAAATATCTCTTGAGACCCTTGCTTTCAACTCTTTTGGAAATATTCCCTGAGGAGAAATTGCTGGAGCATATGTTAGTTCTATTTTTAATTTTCTGAGGAGCTACCATGCTAGCTTCCACAGCAGTTGTATACAATCATATGTTCCCTCCAACAGAGCACAAGGCTTCCAATTTCTTCCTATCTTCGCCAACACTTGTTGTTTTCTGTTTCCTTGGTAGTATCTATTCTAATGGGTGTGCCTGTTTCTGGACTGCCTTAGAACATTTTTTAATTATTTATTAGAACTGAGCAATGGGAAAAGTATCACATAATTTTATGGGCAGATAACCCGATAACCTAGAGCCACAGAGAGCAATCATAACTTTGCCAATGACCTCGTGACTGTGGGCAAGTTGTGCGATCTCTTGAGTTCTCATCTGCTCACTTAAGGACAAGGCCTTCTCAATGATACAACCTTCTCCCTCCTTTCCCCTGATGTTTTCACGAGGAAAAGGTGGGAAGTGAGAGGTGGGAAATGACTTGTGAGATTGGGGTCTTAATCTCAGCAGCCATCACCCCGAGTATATATTTTTCTTTTCTCTATAAGACTAACTCATGCTTATTTTTGAACATGTAGAAAGCTCACAAAAGCATTAGAAGCAAGGAAATGTGTATCTACCCTTCGATCACCCAGAGGCAACACCTGATAACATTTTGCTCTGTTTCTTATAATCTTTTTCTAAGTGAGGCAAACTTTAATCTTCGAGAGTCCCTCTTTTTCTAAAGAAGAGCTACTTCTTTTCACAGCAGTCCGTAGCAAAGTTAACTGAGCTCTCAATTTCTTAAATATATCTTTCTTTGTGCTAGTTCATTTCTTAGATGTGTCACTTTGAGTGAAAAGCAATTAATTGTAGTGGAAACGCTGCTAGGAGACATCTTATGAAATTCTGTTAATATGTATAGGGAGAGAAAGGAAGGGGAAAGGGAGCTGCCGGGCAAACCCAGTCTATTTAAACGGATAATTTCCTTTCCTTTCAAGTTTCAGGGTTGCAGATCTATATATTTATGAAAGGACTAGAAAGCTGTTACTGTATCTCCAATTTGTCAAACTCGGTAAAAACCCAACTGAAAAGCAAAGTTGATAGAATGACTTTGATAAATGTCATTTTCAATTTTTTTGGTTTTCCAAGGAACATTGCTATATCAGTTCAGAAAAAAGTCGAAATTACAATTGTAAGATTAAAAAAGGGGGCATGTGGGAGAGCGCTGGGTTTCGAAGGCTTGTTCTCAGTAATGTCCAGCCTCAGGAAGCCATGCCTGGAGATCATTTTTTAAAATATTTTTTGAGATGGAGTCACTCTATCACCCAGGCTGGAGTACAGTGGTGCAATGTTGGCTCACTGCAACTTCTGCCTCCTGAGTTCAAGTGATCCTCCTACTTCAGCCTCCTGAGTAGCTGGGATTACTACAGGTGCCTGCCACTATGCCCAGTTAATTTTTGTATTTTTAGTAGAGACAGGGTTTCACCATGTTGGCCAGGCTGGTCTCGAAGTCCTGACCTCAGGTAATCTGCCTGCCTCGGCCTCAAAGTGCTGGGATTACAGGTGTGAGCCACCGTGCCTGGCTGCTTGGGGATCTTTGGGGCTGGTGTTGCCTAAAGGATTGGGCTTTGAGGCTGCAGGAGTCCCAGAAGGTTTTGTTTTGAAAACTGGGGCCTGGCTGGGACCCCTGAGGGTGGCCTGACCTGCCTCCTGGGTTGGGGAATCCTGCACAAAAGGCATTCAGCACAGCTCCTGGCACAGGAGAACTGCTCAGTAACTATTGAATATAATTGCGATGTTCTGGGGTGTGGAGGGAGAGGGCTTCTGGGCCTTCTCTTGGCAGTGTGGTTGGGAGTCGGAGGAAGAGTCACATTTGGAAAGTGAGGTATGGTGGGGAGTGTATTGGTCCCTTTATCTGCTTTCTTTCTTTTTCTTTTCTTTTCTTTTCTTTTCTTTTTTTTTTTTTTCTTTTTAAGACAAGAGTCTTGCTGTGTCGCCCAGGCTGGAGTGCAATGGTGTGATCTTGGCTCACTGCAACCTCTGCCTCCTGGGTTCAAGCAGTTCTTCTGCCTCAGCCTTCCGAGTAGCTGGGATTATAGACATGCGCCAGCATGCTCAGCTAATTTTTGTATTTTTAGTAGAGATGGGGTTTCTCCATATTTGCCAGGCTGGTCTTGAACTCCTGACTTCCAGTGATCCACCCACCTCAGCCTCCCGAAGTGCTGGGATTTCAGGTGTGGGACACTGCACCTGGCCCCTTTATCTACTTTCTAATTCCTCCATAATATGGGCTTCCAGGGCCCTGGTTGGGAAAGGAGTGTGTGTGTGTGTGTGTGTGTGTGTATGTGTGTGTGTGTGTGTGTCAGGGCATCTAAAACAGGGAAGGTTTAGGGAGGAGGAAGAGTCAACTCACATTTATTAAGCCGTTACTGTACTGTATGTTTACCAGACACCATACAAAGCATGTGATATGGTTTGGATGTGTGTCCCCTCCAGAGCTCATGTTGAAATGTGAAACCCAGTGTTGGAGCTGGGGCCTAGTGGAGGTGTTCGGGTCATGGGGGTGGATCCCTCATGAATGGCTTGGTGCTGTCCTCTTGGGAATGAGTAAATTCTCACTCTGTTCGTTCTTGCGAGATCTGGTTGTTTGAAAGAACATGGTGCCCTCCCTCTCTCGCTTCCGCTCTCGCCATGTGACTGGCCTGCTCCTCCTTCACCTTCCTCCATGATTGTAAGCTTCCTAAGGCCTCCCCAGAAGCTGAGCAGATCCTGGTGCCGTGCTTGTACAGCCTGCAGAACCATGAGACAAACCTCTTTTCTTTATAAATTACCCAGCCTCAGGTATTCCTTTATAGCAATGCAAAGGAATAACATAGCATATAAGAACTAAACCAAAGAAGTAACACAGCATGTAAGAAAAAAACTAATTCACAAAAGAGGTTAGGAGGTAACTGGACTAAGCATTTGGACCAGGCTTTTCTTCTTGACCCTGAAGCCTGAGCAGGAACATCTCCTCCATTTCCTGTGGACCTATAGAAAGATTTCCTCCACCATGTTTCTTAAGAGTTCAAGCCTAGCCTGGCCTCAGGTAAGGTCTCAAGAAGCAGAATTTTCCGGGCCGGGCGCGGTGGCTCACGCCTGTAATCCCAGCACTTTGGGAGGCCGAGGCGGGCGGATCACGAGGTCAGGAGATCGAGACCATCCCGGCTAAAACGGTGAAACCCCGTCTCTACTAAAACTACAAAAAATAGCCGGGCGTAGTGGCGGGCGCCTGTAGTCCTAGCTACTTGGGAGGCTGAGGCAGGAGAATGGCGTGAACCCGGGAGGCGGAGCTTGCAGTGAGCCGAGATCCCGCCACTGCACTCCAGCCTGGGCGACAGAGCGAGACTCCGTCTCAAAAAAAAAAAAAAAAAAAAAAAAAAAAGCAGAATTTTCCTAATCCATGAAAACTCAGAGGTTTTCCATTTCGGGGTGTAAAAAGGCTTCCTGCCAGTGGCAAGGAGCTACTTTATCACTGGCTGCCACTCATCTTTGAGAAGGACAGCCCAAAAGAGCTGGCTTAGGCTTGCCAGAAACTCTCCCAGGCCACATGGAAAGCCAGGTGACCCTGTAGTACCTGCCCAGTGTGACTCAAGCCCCGAGTAGAAGAAAAGCAAGTTCCAACCTGCAGGCCAAGCCTGGCATGCAGTGGGGCTGTGCGCAGACTGCCATCCTTGGCACCAATGGTGCCAAATTTCTTGCCAAATGGGCTTGAGTTTCAACATGTTGGGAGAGCACAGGAGCCTGTGAGCATAACTTTGCTGTCAACCCTGAAGCAGGGCCAAAGAAGATCCTAGAGAGTCCAGCAGTACAGCAGATGGAAGGGACAGGCATGGATGTTGGGCTCCTGGGGATTCAGCCCTCTTTGGGCAAAGCAGAACACCATCTAACACCAGAGGACTAGACTGCGGCCGGAGCATTGCCCGAGCCATCCCAGGGGATGGAGGTGAGTTTTTGTTTTACCTGTGAGATCTTAGAACTTAGGCTAGGTAGGTTTGTAGAAGTGGTCTTGTCTACAGTGTGCACCTTCATTGTACAGATGGGGAAATGGAGGCCCAGAAAGAAAAGGAGACTTTCCTAAGGTCACATACTGGAGCTCGTGGTGCAGCTAGACTGCAACCTAATGTGGTGGTATTTTCGTTTCCCATATTACTTGGTCCTCTCAAATGACTATAAAATTATAAAGGGTTTACAATTTTAAGGGATTAGTTTTCTAAGGGAACTCTTGTTTTCCATCAACTCTGTGAAGTCTTGGGGGTCCTTCAGTAACCAGGGGACTATAGAATCCTTTTGATCCTAAGAATAGGAATTAGGTCAGATTTTTCTCTTTCTGGGCAAACCCCTTCCTACTTAGTTGAAATCCCTTGAAACTCTAGTCAATAGTGAATGAGAGGCCAGCTGAACAGGACAACCCACTGTCTCCATCACCAGAACGTTCTCCGCTCAAAACTTTGTTGTATATGCCTCAATATGTTGCCTATATCTATAATCTGTATCATCTATCACTGTCTCTCTTATATACATTGTATTTTTCCATGACATTACATCTTCTCTGATATGTGTGACAGAGTTTTCCATTGTATGATTATACTAAAGTTTGTTTAATTAATAATGTAAAGTTCTTAGTTTGTTTTTTCTTCTTTTTTGTTGATTACATTAGCTAGTCCCTTCAAGACAATGTTAGACACTGAAGTGATAAGTATCCTTCATTCTTCTTTCTTCTGATTTTCTAAGATCTGTGCTTAGAATTTTTCTCCTAAATGGGTGTGGATATAATTACATATCCTTAGTTTTCAGGATTTTTATTAAATTCCTTTTGGGTTTTTATCAAGATGATCATATTTTTCTTTCTTAATCTATTAAAACAATAAATTATAATAACAGATTTTCTAATGTTGAATCAGACTTGTAATCATGATATATTATTCTTTTAATACATTGCATATATTAAATATATGCAATGTTTAATGAATTATATGAATATATAATTTAATATATATTGATTCTATTTGCAGTATTTGACATGCTATTTTTGCAAATATATTTATGTGATATTAATATTTAGCTTTTAGTGTGCTTGGTATATCTTTGTGAATAAAAAACTATCAAGTTTGATATGAATGACATGTTAGATTTATAAAACAAATTAAGGAGTATTTCAACTTTTATGCTGTGGACCCACCTAAATAGCACAGAAGTTATCTATTGCATGAGGCTTAAAATAATTCACCTGTAAAACTGTATGGACCTGGTGCCTATTTAAGGGCTTATTTTAAAAATAAGTTTTCTAGACCTTTCTATTTTTGTCTGTCTTTTCTGTATCTTCTTCAGAATAATTTGGTAATTTATATTTTTTGAGGATTATTTATTTTAATTCAAATTTTAGCATTTCCTTAGAATCTCTGATTATATCACCTTTCTCACTTCCATCATTGTTTGTGTTTCTATTTTTTGTGATTAGAGATAATTGTTACTTTCCTCTATTGCTGGTCTTTTCAAGGGATTTGCTCTTGGAGGTGTTTACTAATTCTACTTCCTGTGTATGTGCGTGTTTGTGTGGGTATTTAATTCCTTAATATCTGCTTTTACCTTTACCATCTGCTAATTGGATTGATTGAATTAATTTCCTCTAACTATCTTTTTTAGTTGAATGCTGAGTTTTTAAAAATGTTTTTCTTATTTAAAAGCTAAAAGTATTTAAACCAATATTTAAACCCAAAAATTGTTCTCAGAATGTGGCTTTACCTATACCCCAAAAGTTATTTGAGCGTTGTATTTGTTTATGTTTGTTATTTATGTACAAACATAAATAACAACATGGTTGGATGTAGATTTTTAGTTTACAATCTTTTCCCTTCAAACTCTTGATGTTACATTATTTTCTTCTTGACTTCATTATTTCAGAGAACTGTGGCAATCTTATTTTTTTCATTTAAACATAACTTATTTTTCTCCTGCTATGATTAGCCTATAGAAATTTTCTTCTATTTATGTGTAACACATAGCTGGAGCTTAGTAAATCTACATTGGCAGACTAACTGAAGGAAAATTTCAGCAGTTTATATCAAATAGTACATCTCATTTATTTAATGAGTTGTCTGGTATTCTGTAATTCCTTTTCATCTGAAAGCTACAGTGTTTATTCAGTTCAGGGACATTTTCTTCTACTTTTTCTTTGATGATCATTTCCTCATTTGCTCTGTTCTTTTTCTTAGGAGTTCCTACTAATATCTGGATTCATCATTCAAGTCACTTTGATGTTCTCTGTTCTTTGAGCTACTGGAGAATGCCTTGTTTGTCTTTCCAATTCATAGAGACACAGACTTGATGGAGATTTGAAATTCAACAATTGTGGATTACATTTTAAAGCATTTTTTCCTAATTTAGTGGCTTATCCTTTTCTTAGATGCAACTGACATTTCTCTGTTCTCCTATCACTCAGGCTTTCTGAAGAACGTGACATGGACAACCACTACCCGTCTTCCTGAAATTCTTTTTTTCTCTTGTATACTCCGACATCACACTTCTTGAGTTTCCTCCTACCTGATGACCAGTCCATTTCAGCCTTTTGTCCTGGCTCCTCCTCTGCTCAGCTTTGAACTATTGAAACATTTCAACACTTGCGCCTGGGCCTTTTTTTCTTTTCTCTGTCTGCACAGTCTATCCAGAGCCATAGCTTTAAGTACCATCTTTCCTCTGAACAGTACCAAATTTGTATCTCTGGCCCATACTTTTCCCTGATCTTAGACTTATGTCTCCATGTTTGTAGCTCCACTTGGAAATCTAAAAGGCATCTCAAACTTCGCAAGGATAAAGAAGACCCTTGATTCTCCATCCCAAACCAATTTCTCATGTCCTCTCAATTTTCACCAAAGAGCTCAAACATTTAGTTGCTCAAGACAAAAGTATAGGCATTATTTCTATTTCCTGCTTTTCCCTATTATCACAGCTAATCCATCCTCAAGACCTGTTGATTCTCCCTCCAAAATGTGTCCTGAATTTGTCTACTTCTTTCAATCCACACTTCCATGGTCCTTGTTCCAACTATCATTGCAATAACTACCTGACAGGTCTCTTCATGTCTACTTTTGCCCTGCTGTAATCTGTTCTTTATATAGCAGCCAGAGTAATCTTTTAAAAACAAAAACTGATGCCAAAAAATTAGATAACCTAAAATGGAAAATTTCCTAGAAAGACACAAACAGTTGAAACTGACTCAAGAAGAATTAAAACATTTGAACAGAGTATAACAAGAAAAGATAGTGAATATTAAAAAAAAACCTTCCCATTAAAAAAAGATGATTTCACTGGTGAATTCTTCCAGATGTTTAAAGAAGAACTGACACTACTCTTCCCTAAAATGAGAACACTTCTCAACTCATTCTGTGAAGCCAGTATTATAATGATACTGGCTGTATAACTTACATAATACCCAAGTCAGACAAATACCACAAGAAAACAACAGACCAACATTCCTTATGAATATAGATGCAAAAATTCTCAACAAAATACTAGAAAAATGAATCCAACAACATATAAAAAGATTACACCATGATCGAGTGAGATTTATTCCAGGAATTTGAGGTTGGTTCAACATAGAAAAATCAATTTATTTAATAAACCATATTAATAGAATAAAATATAAAAACCATATGATCATTTCAATAGATGCAAAAAAGCATTTCACAAAATTCAACACCCTTTTATGATACTCAAGAAACTAGAAATTGAAGGGAACTTCCTCTACCAGGTAAAGTATATGTATAAAAAACCCACAGCTAATGTAATATGTAATGGTGAAAGACTGAAAGCTTTTTTTTCTAGCATCAGGAACATGATAAGAATGTCTGCTCCTGCTACTTTTAGTCAACATTATGCTGCAGGTTCTAGCCAGAGAAATCAGGCAAGAAAAAGAAATAAAGTACATCTAAATTGGAAAGGAATAAAAGTAAAACTAGCTGTTTTGCATGCAAATAGACGTGAACTACTATACATATGCTGCTTGACTTATGATGGGGTATGTCCCAATAAACCTATAGTAAGGTCAAAAAATCATAAGTTGAGCCATTGTAAGCTGGGGACTGTCTGCATAGAAAAACTTAAATTCATTAAAAAAAACTTAGAGATAATAAATGAGTTCAGCAAAATTTAGGATACAAGATCCATATACAAAATTCACTTGCAGTTTTATACACTTGCAAAGAAGAATCCAGAACTTAAGAAAATATTCTTCTTGTAACATCACACAGAACAAACCACTTAGAAGTAAATGTAACAAAAAAGGTGCAAAACTAGTAAACTAAAACCTATAAAAAATCACGAAAGAAATTAAAGAAAACCTAAGTAAATGGAAAGACATCCCATGCTCATGGATTGGAAAACTTAATATTGCTAAGATGGCAATACTACCCAAAGTGAGCTATAGATTCAATGCAACTTATCTCAAAATCTCAGCTGGCTTTTTTTGAGAAATTGACAAGCTAATCCTAAAATTCATATGGAAATGCAAGAAGCTCAAAATAGCCAACACAATCTTGAAGAAAAAAAAATGTTGGAGAAACCACATTTCTTAATTTTAAAACTTACCACAAAACTACAGTAATTAAGACTGTTTGATACTGGCATAAGGATAGACATATAGATCAATGGACTAGAAGTGAGAGTCCAGAAATAAACATCTATGCTCAATTGATTTTTAAAATTAATTTACTTTTAATTAACAAAATTGTATTTATGTTGTACATCATATTTTGATGTACATTGTGGGATGGCTAATCTAACAAACATATTTATTACATCACATACTTACCATTTTTGTGGTGAGAACATTTGAAATCTACTCTGTCAGCAATTTTCCTTTTTTTCTTTCTTTTTTTTTTTGAGATGGAGTCTCGCTTCGTTGCCCAGGCTGGAGTGCGGTGGTGTGATCTCGGCTCACTGCAACCTCCGCCTCACTTCCTGGGTTCTAGCAATTCCCCTGCCTCAGCCTCCTGAGTAGCTGGGATTACAGGTGTGTGCCACCATGCCCAGCTAATTTTTGTATTTTTAGTAGAGATGGGGGTTTCACCACATTGGCCAGGCTGGTCTTAAACCCCTGACCCCAGGTGACTCCATCCATCTCTGCCTCCCAAAGTGCTGGGATTACAGGCGTGAGATATTGTGCCTGGCCTGTCAGCAATTTTCAAGTATAGAATACAGTGTAGTCACTGTGTTCTACAATGATCTTCTGAACTTAATCCCACTGTCTACTGAAAGTTTGTATCCTTTGACCAATATTTCCTCAATCTCTTCCCCAACCCCTGAGTGCCAGCCCTTGGTAGCCACTATTCTATTCTCTGCTTCTATGAGTTTGACTTTTTTGTTATTTTTTTACTTTAATTAATTAATTAATTGAGACGTGGTCTCCCTATGTTGCCCAGGCTGCTCTTGAATTTGTAGTCTCAAGCAATCCTCCTACCTTGTCCCCGCAAAGTGCTGGGATTACAGGCATGAGCCACCATGATTAGTTGTTTGACTTTGTTAGAGTCTACATATAAATGAGAACATGTGGTATTTGTGTCTGTGCCTGGCTTATTTCACTTAGCATAATGTCCTCCAGGTTCATCTATGTTGTCACAAATGACAGAATTCTCTTCTTTTTAAAGTCTGAATAGTATCTCATTGTGTATATATACCACATTTTATTTACCTATTCATCTGTTGATGAACATTTAGGTTGATTTCATATATTGGACTTCTCCCTGCACTACATACAAAAATTAAGTCAAAATGCATCAAAGGCAAGAGATGAAACTATGAGACTCTTAGAAAAAAACATAGGTGTAAATCTTGTGGCCTTGGACTTTCTTAGTGCTTTCTTAGATACAACCCCAAAAGCACAAGCAAACCAAAGAAAAAAATAGATAAATTGGACTTCATCAAAATTAAAAACTTTTTGCTTCAAAGGACACTATCAAGAAAATGAAAAGCTGGGCTCAGTGGCTCATGCCTGTAATCCTAGCACTTTGGGAGGCTGAGGTGAGAGGATACTAGAGCCTAGGAGTTCAAGATCAGCCTGGACAGCATAGGGAGACCCCATCTCTACGAGTTATAATAAAAATAATTAGGTGGGCTTGGTGGTGCTCACCTGTGGTCCCAGCTACTTGGGAGGCTGAAGTGGGAGGATCCTGAGCCTGGAAGGTCAAGGCTGCAGTGAGCTATGATGGGGCCATTGTGCTCCAGTCTGGGCAACAGAGTGAGACCCTGTCTTAAACAAACCCCAAATCCCCACAAAAATTAAATAATTGCAAAAAATATTGGCAAAGGATTTGAATAGATATTTTTCCAAAGAAGATGTACAGATGATCAATAAACATATGAAAAGGTGCTCAACATCATTAGCCATCAGGGAAATGGCAAATTTAAAACCATAATGATAACACTTCATATCCTATAGGATGGTTATAATAAAAATATGGACAATAACAAGTGTTGGCAAATTGGAACCCCTCATACATTTCTGGTAGGAATGTAAAGTGGTGCAGCCACCTTGGAAAACAGTGGTGGTTCCTCAAAAAGTTAAACATAGAGTTATGTCTTAGCAATTCCCCTCCTAGGTATACACCCGAGATAATTAAAAACATGTTTAAACAAAAACTTCTACACAAATGTTGATAGCATTATTCATGATAGCCAAGTCAAAATAAAATGTCAATCAATAGATAAGTGGATAAAGAAAATGGAGTATACACACACTGGAGTATTATTCAGCCAAGAAAAGGAATAAAGTGCTGATACATACTACAATGTAGATGAGCCTTAAAAACATTGTAAATGAAGTCAGACCCAAAAAGTCACTCATTGTATGATTCCATTAATATGAAACAGTCTTAGTTAGCAAATGCATAGAGATAGAAAACAGGTTAGTGGTTACCGGTGCTGGAGGGAGAGAAAAATGAGTAAGAGCTAATGGGTGTGGGTTTCCTTTGGGGTGATGAAAATGTTCTAGGATGAGATAGTTGTGATGGTTGCTCAGCTTTGTGAATATACTAAACCCCACTGAATTGTATACTTAAAAGGTGAATATTTTGGTGTGTGAATTATATCTTAATTTTGAAGAAATGAAATGACCCATCCCAAAGCAGGAGCACTAATAAAGGTCTCATGGACTGGAATATGCTTGGCAAATCCACCAGACACAGATTCCTACTGTAAGGAGGGCCCTCACTTGCAGGCAGACAAGTCCCCTTTGGGATGGGAGGGGACTTAGATCAGAGGTCAGTGGGGCCAACCCTGAGCCCCAGCCCCCTGTTACGCCTCCCTGCCAAGTGCTCATCCGACCTCTGCTTGCTTGCTTGCCTGCCTCTTTTGACAGGGAGATCATTTCTGTTGAAGACAACCCCGTTGGTCTTAAACAACTTGATTTTTGAGAAGTTCTTTACTAAGAAAAAAAACAACTTCTTCCTGTAGCTTTCTTCTGGTTCTGTAGCAGAGCTGGTTCTGGCTCTGCCCTCTTAGACACAGAGAACAGGTCCATTCCCTCCCCTCCCTGACAGCCCTTCACGGACTGTCATACATGTATTCACTACAATCCTATGATCTGCTACTCTTTATCTTTAAGATCCTGGGCACAGCGGGCACTAGAGGGCCTGAATTGCCTTCATCAAAGCAAGAGATAATTATGTATCGCCATAATGCATTTTAAAAAATAAAAACAACCATCTACTTATGAGAGCTTTCCTAACAAAACAAATCTGAAGACCAAGAACTAAACTAGGAAGTTCTTTGAGCCTTTCAAAGTGGTGTCAGAGTATGGGCACTTAAAAAATAGATTCTGTCTAGCCTTTATTTTTATTTTTATTTGTTGATGGAGTCTCACTCTTGTCGCCCAGGCTGGAATGCACTGGTGCGATCTCAGCTCACCACAACCTCTGCCTCCTGAGTTCAAGCAATTCTCCTGCCTCAGCCTCTGGAGTAGCTGGGATTACAGGTGCCTGCCACCACGCCCAGCTAATTTTTGTATTTTTAATAAGGACAGAGTTTCACCATGTTGGCCAGGCTGGTCTTGAACTCCTGACCTCAGGTAATCCACCTGCCTCAGCCTCCCAAAGTGCTGGGATTACAGGTGTGAGCCACCATACCCAGCCCTGCCTAGCCTTTTTACTCTTTGTTTACATATAGTTCTAACACATTTGGCTGCCAGATTACTAGGCCATGGTGAATCCAAAAGGAGATGGAAGCTTCTGGAGGCAGGCTCCTCATTCCACCCTTTAAGTGATCTTGACTCATCCCCCTATTGGTTATCCCATACAAAGCTGCTGTTGGTGCCTATGCCGTCTGTGAAATTGTTCTAGGTCACCTTCAAATGGCCTGCCCTGTACTCCTCATCTTCCATTTTCCTGATTCCTATCCACCCCACCACTGCCCAGCCTTTTGTCCTCACACCTGGCCACTTCAATTGGTGGCCAGGTTTTGAACAAGCTATTCAAGCTGTGATTTTATTTTATTTTATTTTATTTTGAGACAGGGTCTCCCCTGTCACCCAGGAGTGCAGTGGCGGGATCATGACTCACTGCAGCCTCGACCTCCTGGGCTCAAGGGATCTTCCCATTCAGTCTCCCAAGTGACTGAGACTACAGGTGTGCGCCACCATGCCCTGCTAATTTTTGTATTTTTTGTGGAGACAGCATTTCGCCATGTTGCCCAGTCTGGTCTTGAAGTTCTGAGCTCAAGCGATCTGCCTGCCTCAGCCTCCCAAAGTGCTGGGATTACAGGCATGAGCCCCTGTGCCAGGCCAACTGTGATTTTAGTATTCAGCTTTTCCACTTACTGGTGGCATAGAAGTCACTTAACCACATTAAGCCTTGTTTTGTTTTAATCTGTAAAATGGGAATATAATGATTTCAATCGCACACATTTGTGTGTGAACGGTAGATGCCATAGTGTGTGTGAAGGAATAAGCAGTCACCAAGGGCAGCTGTTCTGATGATCTGGCCTCTGTTTGCCTGCACCATGGCAGTCGGTTGTGGCGGTCCCCAAGGGGAGACCTTGCTCTAAGCAGGCCCAGGATTTCAAAGGCAGGATTTAAGAGGACAACTGTGGTCATAATGGTAGTTGGAAAGACAGAGGTGAGAAAACTTTAAAACTCAGGCACTAAAGGACCCTTGTCTGGGTCCTTTAGCTCAATATCCCCTATCAACCTCCAAGAGTGTCATCTCCATAAAGCATCCTAGAGCCTAATGCCTGTGACTGTCCTCCCTTCATTTCCTAAGCAAAAGCGTATTGGTACTCATTTTGTGCCAGGTACTCCTGCCAACTGGAAAGGTAGAGATAGAGACCTCTGCCTTCAGGGGGCTCCCATTCTTGTTGAGCCTAAGTCAGGGGAGGAGGAAAAGAATAATAATTTATAGATACTGTTTAGGCTGAGCCTGGTGGCTCATGCCTGTAATCCCAGCACTTTGGGAGGCTGAGGTGGGCGGATCACCTGAGGTCAGGAGCTCCAGACGAGCCTGGCCAACATGGCAAAACCCCGTCTCTAATAACAAATACAAAAATTAGCCAGCCATGCATCTGTAGTCCCAGCTACTTGGGAGGCTGAGGTAGGAGGATCGCTTGAACCCGGGAGGCAGAGGTTGCAGTGAGCTGAGATTGCACCACTGCACTCTAGCTTGGGCAACAGAGCCAGACTCTGTCTCAAAAAACAAAACAAAAGACATTTTATGGTGTGTTTTAGAAAGATTTACCTTCAAAATGATTATACTTCTTAGTTTATATCTGAAATAATTATAGTTTTAAATATTTTAGCCAAGGGAAATCTTCAGTTATCATTCAATTTCGTTTAAGTGGAATGGAGAGTATCAGCTTTTGCTAGGTAACGATGAGTCACATTTAATGAGTGTTTACCATATGTCAGGCTCTATCCTAAGTGCCTTATAGTTCTCTTAAGTTCTTTGATCCATAACAGCCCTATGCAATGGTACAAATATTATTCTTGTATTGAGTATGAGGAAACTGAAACACAGAGGGGTTTAGTAACTTGCCCAAGGTCACATAGCTAATAAGTGGCAAGCTTGGATTTGAACCCAGGGAGGCTGGCTCCTGAGAGAGAAGGAGCTCGTAAACACTATATTTTAGGGTGTCCCATATAACAAAGACTTACTTTCTTTGGATTTTTTTACCAAGTGATCATTCATGTAATGTATGTATGGACACTGTCACAGAATGTGCAGGTCAGTCAGGACAAAGTGGGAAAATCGGACACTTGATATCTTGATTCCTTCCTTTCCCCTTGCGATTTTACAAAGAAGGAAATTAAAGCCCAAAGACGGGGCAGGGGACCGGCCACCACCAGGAGGGTGATGGGCTCCCTGCCTCCCTCACAGTTTTGGCCGGGTGCAGTGGCTCACACCTGTAATCCCAGCACTTTGGGAGGCCGAGGCAGGTGGATCACTTGAGGTCAGGAGTTCAAGACCAGCCTGGTCAACATGGAGAAACCCCATCTCTACTAAAAATACAAAAATTAGCCAGGCATGGTGGTGCATGCCTATAATCTCAGCTACTCAGAAGGCTGAGCGGGAGAATCACTTGAACCCGGAAGGTGGAGGTTGCAGTGAGCCAAGATTGTGCCACTGCACTCTATCCTGGGTGACAGAGTGAGACTTTGTCTCAAAAGGAGAAGAAAAAAAAAAAAAAGGGCCCAAAGACGCATAATGACTTCCTTAAGGTTACAGCATGAAAACCAGACTGGAGGTCAGAACTCAACCCCCAAGCTGGGCTTTTCCCAGTATCATTCTTCGTTCTTAATGAGCCCTGTATCAGACTCTTAAGTGGTTCTGAACTCTCTTTCTCTGTCTTTGTTTCACAGTCCAAAGTCTTCTTAACCAGAAAGTGCATTTCCTCTTCAGTACCAGTAACCCCTGGTTCCAACTGCGTCAAAAACACTCCCTAGGCTTTCTCATGGCTGTCTTACCTGCTTTGCTGGGGCTATTTATGGAGGAAGAGCACAGGATCTGTTTTGCCTTTCATCAGAGTCAGGATCAGAGCAGAGAGGCTAGGACACAAACATTGAACCCCGAGATCCGGACCACATGACTAGGGTGGCGGAAACTGGGGCCCAGCCACAGCCAAAGCCATGGGGAGGCCATGCCAGCACAGCCATCACCCCATCATCTCCTCCCCTGGCTGTTCGTCTAATCCTCAACAGTGCTGAGATGCCACAGACTAGAAAGTGCTACAAGAAACCACACGGATTTGAGTGTCACAGTTGTGTGTGAAAAATACTGAACCAACTCTGGACTGGGAGTCAGGAGGCCTGGCTTCCGGGCTTGGCTCTTCCACTGACCAGCTATGAAGGTCTGGGCAAGTTGACACGCCCCTCTGGGCCTCTGTTTTCTCATGCGTGATAAGAGGTTAATCAGCTGCTTGCCTATCCTCACAGGATTACTGTGAGGCTGAAAAACAAAAGTGACAATGCTTTGGAGATAACAAAGCAGTGTAAAGATGTAAGGAATATTGTCATTGCACTGAGCTGGACCCAAGGTAGCAGCAGCTCTGGATCTCCTGCCCTGGTGATAAAGAGTTGTAGAAAAGGCTTTATCCACTCCCTTCTGCCATACCAAGACCTGCTCCCTGGAAGAGATTTGGGCAGTGGGAAAACAGAGCCCAGCCTGGGATTGTTTCCAACACCATGTGTTGGCTCTTTGGAGCACTGTGCCAGGAGTCAGGAGCCTGGGCTTTGGGCCCTACTCTACTGCAAACAAGCTGTGTACCCCAGCTGGGCTACAGTGTGAAAACCTGACTCTGCTAGTGTGGCCTCCCCATGACTGTGCCCAGGTCACCCCAGTCACATGGTCTGGATCTTACGCCCAGCATTCCTTTCCTAGTCCCTGTGCTCTGATCCTAACCTGATTAGAGCCAAATGAATCCTGTGCTTTCCCTCCATAAACAGCCCCAGCAAAGCAGGCTGAGCTAAGTGCTGCCACGTAGCCTCTCTTGGCTTCGGTCAGCTCTAAAAGTCTGATGCCACAATCAGATCATCAGCTTGAACACAGGGAGGTGGATCAGCTCTGAGATCTGAGGAAGGGGAAAAATGGTGGAAAAATACCTACTAAGCATTAGGTCCTTTCCATGTAATTGATCTCACCTCATTTATTCAGCCCACGGTTATGCCAAGCTCTGCGGCTGGTGCCGGGTACCGGCCATAAACAAGACAGACCTGGTTTTCTGGAGATTACAGTGAAGCAGGAGAGGTGGGCGTAAAACAAATGTTCACACAAATGCAGAATGACAATTGTGGTAATGGTACAAGGAAGAGAATAGAGCTATGGGGAGGGACCTAACCAGCCCATTATGGAGCTGAAACTTGACAGAGAATAAGTAGATGCCCAGCTAGAAGGGGGCTAAGCTTCCATGCAAAGGGAACAGGCGTGAAGGCCCTGAGGTTGGAAGGAGATTGCCATGACCCAGAGACCAAGCAAGAAAGCAAGTGTGTGTAAAATGTGGTGAGCAAGAGGGGCTGTTGCTGGCACTGATGTTGAGGGCCTGGCTGAGCTCTTTCTCTTGGCTATACTCAGAAGCAGAGGTCTTGATCTTAATCTTGGCATTCCCCCCTCCACCCCCACCCCCCCCTTTTTTTTGAGACAGGATTTTGCTCTGTCACCCAGGTTGGAATGCAACAGCATGATTATAGCGCACTGCAGCCTCAAACTCCTGGGCTAAAGTGATCCTCCTGCCTTGGCCTCCCAAAGTGCTGGGATTACAGGTGTGAGCTCCCCTAATCTTGGCATCCCTTTACCTTGGAATATGAGCTCCACTGACTTAGATTTTCTGCATACAATTAGAATTTCTTATTCTCTGGACAATCTGATTTATCATATTCACCAAATTTGATAAACATTCACTTTTTTTCTGAAAAACAGAAAAAAAAGACTCGTCCCTGCTCTTCTGGTCCTTGTCTGGAGGACAGGCTGAAGAGAGGGCAGCTGGTGGGGCAGACACTTGATTAAGAAACTCAAGCAAGGCTGAGATGCATGCCACAGAAGAAGCGCAAGGGGCCAGGGTTCAAGGACCAGGTCTGACAGTTACAGGAACTTGTCGTGTTAATGGCCACATCTTTGTAATGCTTGTCATTCCCGTGTGGGAGAGTTTCCAGGGAAAAGTATAATTTAAGCTGAGCCTTGAGATGTGATAGGACTGTTTATTTTTAATACGTTTTTCCAACTTAAAAATATATGCGCCTAAAAGAAAATTTGAGAAAAAAAAGGACAAAGAAGATAATTATAACTATCCTTAATCCAGAGCAACGACAGTAAACATTTGAGGGAGTATCCTTCCAGGCTTCGTATCTATGTTTAACAACATTGAAGTCATTGTATATAGACAATTCGGCAGCACTTTCATCTTTCATTTCACACGTCAAGGGTCTTTGCCTAGGCCATTACATGTTCTTTAAAAATACAATATTTGATGGCTGTTTAATATTCAGTACTTTGGGTTTGTGTAATCACTTCATTATCAGATATTTTGGTAGTTTCCAAATTGGTTGCTACTATGAATAATGCTGAAATGAGCATTGAAGTACATAAAACCTGTGGTGGCATCTGGGTATTCCCTTAGGGCAGAATCTGAGGAGTGGAACTGCTGGGTCGAAGAGTGTGAACATTTCTATGGCCTTGGGTATTTACTGGCCCATTATGTTCCCACTCACATTGTAGGAGCTCCTCTATCTCACTGCCACCCACCACCACTATTTTCATTTTTAAATCTTTGCCATTTTGATGGAAGACAATGCTGTTGCTGAAGAATGCCTTTCTTTGACTAAAGATGAGTCTGACTTCGACCAGCAAAGTGCGGGAATGGGGAGGTGAGGAAGGGCACTGAGAGAACAGTTTGCTGCTGGCATGGTTCCTTTCCAGGCAGCTCTGTGGAGGTGTCAGGAATGTTTAGGAATTGCACCAAGGCTGTGTCATGTCACGGGTAACTTCTTCTCTGCTGTCTTAAGCACTTACAGCAGCCACGGCTCAGAGCACTTCCACCTGGAAGGAGAGTGTCTGTCTGAGATACCAGTTCTGTTTGCCCCAGAACGACCTCAGGAGGTGAGGACCCGTCCCAGCCAACACCAGTGCTTTTCTCTTAAAGGATGGATTTCTACAGCAAATTTCTCCAGTGAGACGGGGAGTCTACTTTCATCTTCTCTCTGAGAAATGAAATATGGTGAGGTGGGATTTGGGAATAAAAAGTTTTTGGAACATGACTTCAAAAACAGGACTTGGTATACTACTGGATAAAGCATAAAGTGGTTTACCCTTTTTGGAGGTCAATTTGGTCATATGTCTCAAATTGTAATGAATACTCTTTAACTCAATAATTTTACTTTTTTTTTTTCTTTTGGAGACAGGATGTTGCTCTGTCGCCTGGAGCTGGAATGCAGTGGTGTGATAATGGCTCACTACAGCTTCAATCTCCTGGGCTTAGGTGATCCTCCTGCCTCAGCCTCCTGAGTAGCTGGGACCACAGGCACATGCCACCATGCCTGGATAATTTTTTTAAGTAGACATGAGTTCTCACTATGTTGCTCAGTCTGGTCTTGTGATTCTCCTGGGCTCAAGTGATTCTCCCACTTTTGCCTCCCAAAGTGCCGGGATTATAGGCATGAGCCTCTGCACCCAGCTCCATAATTTTACTTCTAAGAATGTATTTGAGGAAGTAAACAGAGAAGAATGCAAAAATGTGCTGACTCTGGGTACACTGCCTATGAGTTAGCCCTGCTCCACAGGGATCAGTAATAAAAAAAAAAAAAAGTGCAAAAATGTGTGCACAAGGATGTGTACAGAAGGGAGTATTGTGGGTGTTAGTGAAAAGAATGGAAACAATCTAAGTAGGTGTCATCTATGTGCCTGAGAAATGAAGACATTTGCATGAGAAATTGTATGGAAGTCTGGGTTGAGGAAAGGGCCAATACTGGCTAAGAAAAAACTGTCTTGACCGGGCATGGTGGCTCACGCCTGTAATCTCAACACTTTGGGAGACCGAGGCAGGCAATCACCTGAGGTCAGGAGTTCGAGACCAGCCTGATCAATGTGGTGAAACCTCATCTCCACTAAAAAATACAAAAATTAGCCGGGTGTGGTGGCACATGCCTGTAATCCCAACTACTTGGGAGGCTGAGGCAGGAGAATTGCTTGAACCTGGGAGGTGAGGTTGCGGGGAGCTGAGATCATGCCACTGCACTTTAGCCTGGGTGACAGGATGAGACTCTGTCTCAAAATAAATAAATAATAAAAAAAAGAAAAAACTGTCTCGAAAATATCCAGCAGAGCCTCCTGCCTAACACCCAAGATGAGCCCTTCCTCCCTGATCACATTTGGCCTCAACAGCTTGCAAAGCAAAGCATGGCTTGAGCCTACCACGGGCAGGGACACGGTCGGCAGCCCATGTTAATCTGCATCCATGAGTAGGGAAAATGAGTCATTCAGCCAGGAGGGCGAGGCCTCTGTTGGGCACCAGTCTCTCCTGGTGCCTCTCAAGCTACTAATGTGGCCAGTAGGATAGTAGTTATTTTTCTTGGCCTGAACCATTCCAATAGGGGATCTGAATATCCCATTATCAGGCTAGTGTGCTATCCAAAACCCCTAATGAAGCATGGACAGAAAAATATCATCATATATCTTTCATGTGATTCAAAAGTTCCTAATCAGAGGACCAACCAGAGGAACTGTCTCTCTCAGAGATATATTGCAGGGAATAGAAGAAAATATTAGAAAATATTGAATTCCAAATGACAACAAACTTTGAGAGAACATTGCCTTTATTCATCATTCAAAAAGCATGTATTGAGTGTCCACCCTATGCTAACAGTGAACAAGACAGGCAAAGTCTCTGTTCTCATGGGGTTTACCTTCTAGGGTGGGAAGAAAGATAACAGAGAAGCAAATAATAAATGATGAATATGGAGTGCTGTGGTGTGGACTAATAGGCTAATGAGGCAGAGCGACTGAGGGAGGCACACTGGGGATAGTGAGAGTGCTTGTGGGGAATTGTGAGCTTAGACTTGGCATCTGAGAATGGACCAGCCCTGCAAACTAGGGGGTCTCAGGCAGGGGGAACAAGTACCAGGACAGAACAGAGGCCAGCCTTGCTTCAGCACAAAACAGGGAGACAGACGTGGGTGAGGGGGAAGAGGTGGGCAGGAACTAGGTCATCCAGGGTCTTATTCATTCTGAGAGCAGTCAGGCACAGTGGTTCATACCAGTAATCCCAGCACTTTGGGAGGCTGAAGTGGGAAGATTGCTTGAGGCCAGGAGTTCAAAACCAGCCTGGGCAACATAGCAAGACCCCATCTCTACAAAAAAATTTTAAAAAATTAGGGGGGAATGGTGGAGCACACCTGTAGTCCTAGCTACTCGAGGCTGAGGCAGGAGGATCCCTTAAGCCCAGGAGGTTGAGGCTGCAGTGAGCTATGATCACATGACTGCACTCCAGCCTGCGTGACAGAGGAGACCCTGTCTCAAAAAACAAACAAGCAAACAATCAAACAACAAAAAACCTCAACAAAACCCAAAAGCCATTCTAAGGGCAATTGGGGATTACTGAAGAGCTTTAAACAGGAGAGGAACATATATGGTTTGTGTGTGTGTGTGTGTGTGTGTGTGTGTGTGTGTGTGTGTATGTGTGTGCTGTTGCTTTTTAGTTTTAGTTTTATTTGTAATTTTAGTTTACTAGGAATTATAAAAAAAAGAGATATAATTGATATACATAAAGCTTCCTTTTTCAAAGAGCACAATTGAGTCTTTTTTTTTTTTTTTTGAGATGAAGTCTCTATCTGTCACTCAGGCTGGAATGCAGTGGTGTGATGTCGGCTCACTGCAACCTCCACCTCCTGGGTTCAAGAAATTCTCCTGCCTCAGCCTCCCGAGTAGCTAGGACTACAGGTATGTGCCACCATGCCCGGCTAATTTTTTGTATTTTTAGTAGAGATGGGGTTTTACCTTGTTGGCCAGGCTGGTTTTTCACTCCTGACCTCAAGTGATCTGCCTGCCTCAGCCTCCCAAAGTGCTGGGATTATAGGTGTGAGCCACTGTGCCCGGCCTTCATTCCTTTTGAAAGATTAATAATATTCCACTGTATAGATTTACCACATTTTATTTATTCTTTACCAGCTGTTGGACATTTGGTTTTTTTCTACTTTTGGGCTATTATGAATAATGTTGCTATGAACATTCATGGCTACATCTTTGAAAGGATATATGCTTTTCTGAATAAATGCTCCCTGGATTTTGTGCAAGCCTTTGGTTAATTTTCAGAGTTCTGAAAACGTTGATTCTGCCAGTTTTGGGCAGTATTTCCATTGCTTGTATGGAGCAGACAATTCTCAGAAGTCTTTACTCTGATAGTTTGCTGATGTCATGCTGAATCCCTTCATTTTTATTATTTATTTATTTATTTTTGAGATGGAGTCTTGCTCTGTCACCCAGGCTGGAGTGCAGTGGCATGATCTCGGCTCACTGCAACCTCCGCCTCCCAAGTTCAAGCGATTCTCCTGCCTCAGCCTCCCCAGTAGCTGGGACTACAGGCATGTGCCACCACACCCAGCTACTTTTTGTATTTTTAGTAGAGATGAGGTTTTACCATGTTGGCCAGGCTGCTCTCGAACTCCTTACAGCCTCTCAAAGTGCTGGGATTACAGACGTGAGCCACTGTGCACAGCCCTAAGTCCTATTCTTGATGCAAAAAAGCCAGATGCAGAATTCTGGTTCAACAGACGTAAATGAGAGAAGTGCTCAGCTGGCTGAGTTGATAGAAATGGGTAGGAGGGGCCGGACGCGGTGGCTAATGCCTGAAATCCCAGCACTTTGGGAGGCTGAGGTGGGCAGATCACGAGGTCAGGAGATCGAGGCCATCCTGGCTAACACAGTGAAACCCCGTCTCTACTAAAAAATACAAAAAAAATTAGCCAGGCGTGGTGGCAGGCACCTGTAGTCCCAGCTACTTGGGAGGCTGAGGCAGGAGAATGGCGTGAACCCGGAAGGTGGAGCTTGCAGTGAGCTGAGATTGCGCCACTGCACTCCAGCCTGGGCAACAGAGTGAGACTCCGTCTCAAAAAAAAAAAAAGAAATGGGTAGGAGGTATGAAGAGCCGCCCTTGGGATTAAGACAAACTCAGAGGGCATTCAGAGTGAAATAATGTCTAGAAGTAGATACTCTGGGCTGCATCAGACACTCATGAGGTTTTGTGTCCTGGAGTATGTTTAGGGTGGTGAAACTATCTTGTGTTAGAGCAAGGGGAGGGCTGGGGCTGTTCAGCTGAAGAATGAGAGACAGGAGACATGAGCACTGTCTGCAGATCTCTAAAGGGCTGCCCTGGGGCAGAGAGAGCAGGTCTGTGAGGCCCCCCAGAGCAGAGGTATGTCCAGTAGTCAAAGATACAGAGAAAGAGACCTCAGCTCAAGCATTGAAAAGATCTCAGTAACAGGCTGAGCATCCAAGAATGCAAACTTGGGCATATGTCTGTAGGTAGTGAGTCCCCAGAAAGGGCCAGGTTGGAAGAATTCCAGGAAGTGTTTTGCACAATACCTGCAATGATGTTCTCTCAAAGTTGTGTTGGAGCTGATGGGGTTATCATGTCTTCAGATCTGCCCTTTCTTCATTCCAGAGCTCTGCCACCCACCTAGCTGGGAAACCAGAAACCTGGGCACTCTCCTAGACTCTTTCTCCTCTCCCACTCATGGCAATCAATCAATCAATCAACCAAACACCAGGTCCCATCCAGGACAACCGTAGGATATCTCTGGCATCTGGCCCCTTTTCTCCATCTATTGCTGCCATCTTCACTCAGATCTTCATAATTTCTTGTCCTGGCCTCTGTTATAGCTTCAGGTCTGTCTGTTAGCAATCTAACTGCAAGCTGATCATGTTAAGCCCCTTGATGAAATATTTGCCCTTTCTCCATAGTTTCAGGATAAAGCATGGACACCTTAACATGATATTCAACCCACCTCTCCAGGCTCACTGTTTTCCAGGTACTTTAGCCTCCAGCCGCATGTCACTGGCACCTGCCTTTGTTTTTGCTGAGAGTTCCCACATATACAACTCATGCATCCCAGCTTCCCCTATTATCTACATCTTAACCAATGTGTTATGTTTGTCAGAATCAGGAACCGATGTTGGTACATTATTATTAAGTTCATAGTTTACCTTAAAATTCACTGTTTGTATTATACATTCTATAGATTTTTGTTTTGAGACAGGGTCTTACTTTGTCACTCACACTAGAGTGCAGTGGCATGATCATAGCTCACTGCAGTCCTGAACCCTTGGCTCAAGCGATCCTCCTGCCTCAGTCTCCTGAGTAGCTAAGACTACAGGTGTGCACCACCAAGCTTTGCCAATTAAAATTTTTTTTTTTTTTTTTTTTGGAGACAGGGTCTTGCTATGTTGCTGAGGCTGGTCTTGAATTCCTGGCTTCAAGCAATCCTCCCACCTTGTGCTCCTAAACTGCTGGGATTCCAGGTCTAAGCCACTGTGCCTAGCTCTATAGGGTCTGACAAATATATGATGACATGTATCCATCATTACTGTATCATACAGAAGAGTTTCACTGCCCTAAAAATCCTGTGCTTCATTTATTTCTCCCTTGCCCCAACCTCTCCATGAGTCCCTAGCAATGACTTTTCCTGGCTTTTTATATGTTAAAAACCTACCCTGGCCAGACGTGGTGGCTGACACCTGTAATCCCAGCGCTTTGGGAGGCTGAAGTGGGTAGATCATCTGAGGTCAGGAGTTCGAGACCAGTCTGGCCAACATGGCCAAACCCTGTCTCTACTAAAAATACAAAAATTAGCCAGGCGTAGTGGCAGGCACCTGTAATCCCAGCTACTCAGGAGGCTGAGACATGAGAATCGCTTGAACCCAGAGGGCGGAGGTTGTAGTGAGCCAAGATCGTGCCACTGCACTCTAGCCTGGGTGACAGAGCAAGACTCGGTCTCAAAAACAAAAGACAAAAAGCCTACCCACTTACCTCCTTAGGAAACCTTCATATATTTTTCTGTGCTGGGTTCTCTCTCTCTTTCTGTCTCTGTGTGTCTCTCCCTGTCTCCCTCCTTCTTCCCCTACACACCAACCCTGCTGGATAGATTTTACCTCATGGGTGAATAAACAGAGGCTCATTTATTTAAATAACTTGCCCAAGACCATAGAACCAGTGAGTGTGGGGACTGAGATTTGAACCCAGCCCTGTCTGTCTCCAAACCCACCCAGAGCCCTTTTCTTTTTTTCTTTTCTTTTTTTTTTTTTTTTTTTTTTTTTGAGACACAGTCTCACTCTGCTGAGGCTGGAGTGCAGTGGCGAGATCTTGGCTCACTGCAAGCTCCGCTTCCCGGGTTCACGCCATTCTCCTGCCTCAGCCTCCTGAGTAGCTGGGACTACAGGTGCCTGCCACTGCACCTGGCTAATTTTTTTTCTTTGTATTTTTAGTAGAGACGGGGTTTCACCATGTTAGACAGGATGGTTTCGATCTCCTGACCTCGTGATCCTCCCGCCTTGGCCTCCCAAAGTGCTGGTATTACAGGCGTGAGCCACCGCGCCGAGCCCAGAGCCCTTTTCTTAAGCCCTTGACCGTGTGCACTGTCCGCCTTCCCTCTAGATTGAGAACTTGAGATCAGGGACTATTTCCAATTCAGGTCTGGGTTTTCAGAATCTAACCCAAAACCCCAAACAGAGCAAGGATTCAAGATAAATATGCATGGATTGAAAAATATTTTGTTTATTGGAATGCTAATGACTAGCTGGAAGCATTAAAGAAGAAAAATATCTGGAGTCTTTGGGCTGTCTGCAGGAAAAGATGTTTACCCCACGCACTCCGGCAGACCCTCTGAGCTCAGCCTCTTGAGTGAACTTAATTCCAGTGCCAATGACCCGGGGGTGTGTATGTGTGCTTGCTAGTTCAGGAGCTCCATTGCCCCCATACCTAGGACGCTCTTAAGAGGGAAACAGGCTCCTTCATCCCAGGCTGGAGAGGCCTGGAGAGGCCCATCCTTCCCATCTGGGCTTCCCTGGAGAGGGGCCAGGCCTGGGTGTGCTCACGTGTGTGCACTTGAGCTCAGCGCCTTCTCTCTTCAGCCATCACCCCACCAGATGCATAGTTCTTCTCTCTGCTAATGCAATTTATATGTCTGAGCATGAACAGAGGATTTGTGAGCCTTCAAGGCAGTGGCTTTGGAAATTACCACGACAGGCCAGGGCTGCTGGATAGAGAATTGGGGTTTAGGAGACTTTGGAGGAATTATTTTCAAAGGTGAGGAGGCTCCTCCTGGACAGGAGGAAGAGCATATTCTGGGCTCTGAGAAGCCCACACCTATCCCATGTCCTCCCCCAGGCCCTTCCAAGATTCCTTTTAAGACATCCCCAATAAGACTTTGTGGCTTAACAATGCATAGGACGGGAGCTCCTCACTGTGATGGAGCAGAGGTTCATTTAACAGGATCAGCTGTTCGGGGAGGTGAGGTGGGAATGAGAGCTTGGTTCACACTGAGACTGGGGCTCTCACCAGCTGGGGAAAAGTCGGTGCATTAAAAAATCTCTGAGCCTCAGCATCTACCTGATAAAAGTTGAAAGTGGTAAATCATGTCCATCAGGAGGTCGTGTTTCATACTGAAATGGACTCGGGCTTTTGTGTCCAAAAAACCTGTGTGGCCTTAAGCAAGCTACTCAACTTCTCTGAGGCTCTTTTCTGTCATATGTGCGTTTGGGAATACCCAAGTACCCTGCAGGGTTGTTTGGAGGGACTAAAGCAGATCCAGTGGAGAAAGTGCTACTAGTAGTGCCTGGTGCCTGGCACCCGGTAAGGGACCAGTCATCACAGTCCATCCTTGGTAGATGCCTGTTCTTCTCTCCTGCCTCACTGCAGGGCGTCAGCCACCACTTCAGTCTTAATGCCTCCTCACTCACATCCCACTCCAAACTCCCATCCTCCCATCGTCTCTTTTTTTTTTTTTTTTTTTTTTTTTTGAGACAGGGTCTCACTCTGTCTCTCAGGCTGGAGTGCAGTGGCGCAGTCTCTGCTCACTGCAACCTCCACCTCCCATGTTCAAGCGATTCTCCTGCCTCACCCTCCTGAGTATCTGGGATTACAGGCACGTGCCACCATGGCCAGCTAATTTTTATATTTTTAGTAAAGACGGGGTGTCACCATGTTGGCCAGGCTTGTCTTGAGCTTCTGGCCTCAAGTGATCCGCCCGCCTTGGCCTCCTAAAATGCTGGGATTACAGGCATGAGCCACTGCACCCAGCCTATCATCTGTCTTGACTGACAATTACAAGTCTGTTGACTTTCTCTGCACATCCAGGGGCCATAGTGCCTTCCATGTCTGTCTAGAAAGGCCCTTTCTGAACCCATTCTGACCTTGTCTTTTTCCTGCTTAAGAAAACTCTTATGGCTCCCTGTCACCTACCAAGATAAAACGTAAACTCCTTACTGCCTTCCGCCTTCTTAGTCTTACTTCCTCTTCCTTTAAGGACATGTCACACTGCAGTATCAGAGTCGAGGACTGCAGCTCCCAGTGTCAAGCATTTCTTGTCCATATTTCTTGTGTATCATTATCCATCTTTCTCCCTCCCAAGATGAGGGTGGTTTTCTTAGTGAATTTTGAAAAGCGTGATATCTTGATCTAGTTAAGAACAAACTCTAAGGAAAAACACGATAATAATTTTTTTCTTCATGCCTTGAAAACCACCTGAGTTTTGCCATGGATTTATTCACTGTTTTCCTATGAGCCATAGCGGTAGAATGATCAGAGCATTGTATTGTATTTCTTTGCAATTTCCCTGTGCTGGGTTGCAGGTCTGGAAAATGATAGATGCCTAAAATTGATCAGGGTAATCGATGCTACGTGAAGTATTTACACATGATGGATGTATCATCTGCCAGATGTGGGTGTTGGCAACAGCTTGCTTGTTTATAAAACCCCTGAGATCCCATTTGTATGAGTGACTAATGTTTGCACACAGAGCTGTTGGCTGTGTTTCTGAAATGACTATTTATTCGACATGATCACCTTTCTCCTTTACTTCCCCATTCATCACAAGCCCTGCTGCTCTTTCCTACATAACAAAATCAGAGTTTTATTCAATCTTCTTTCTCCTTGAACTCTGTGATATATGGAGGTGGTTTTATTTTGCATTTCCAACTGGCTTCCAGTCTTGCCTCCCCTCTGATTTGAAACTCACATGTTGCTGGTGTTCTGTCATGAGGCTTTAACTGCACCTGCAATATAGACTCTAAACCCCCAAGGACAGCATTTAGAGTCTTCCCCAGCCTGGCCTCAGCTGACATTTCCAGATGTACATTGTACCGAGGACTCCAGCACTGGAAAGCGATGTTCTTTTTATAAGTGACCCAAGCTCCCTAGCTTATACTCACAGGGATATTTACTGACAGGTCCTGGCATAGGACACAGAATTGGAGAAAGGCCTGCCTGAACCAGCCCAGCTCTGGGGACCTCTGAGACTGAAACTAGGGTCTCCAAAACCATGAGCAACTGTCATCTCCCCGTTTCTGCTTGTCTTGTGTAATGGCCTCATTCTCTCCTGAAGACAGGTTTTCTCTACATAGTAGGAATGTGGCCCTCATCAGTCTAACTCCTCATCAAGGAAAGTGTTTTCTCCCTGCTGCTCTAGAGGAGGGACACTGGTTAGCCTGGATTGGGTCAGTGCAGCCCTGGACCGGTTACTAAATCTGGGGGCTGGGGAGTTGTAACTGACCTAGCCAGCATCACTGGCCTGACTCTGTGGTCAGGAGGACGGCGGAATAGACTCTTAGAAGAAGGGAGGAGAAGGAGTAGGCACGGTGGCTCCCATCTATAATCCCAGCACTTTGGGAGGCTGTGATGGGAAGATCGCTTGAGGCCAGGAGTTCAAGATCAGCCTGGGCAACATACTGAGATCCTCTCTCTACCAAAACAAAAACAAACAAACAAACAAACAAAAAACCAGGCAGGTGTGGTGGCATGCGCCTGTAGTCCTAGCTACTCAGGAGGTTGAGGTAAGAGGGTCACTCAAGCCCAGGAGTTGGAGGTTGCAGTGAGCTATTATCACATCATTGCACTCCATCCTGGTTGATAGAGTGATACAGTGTCTCTAAAAAAAAAAATCAAGAAGAAGAACAGTAGGAGGAGGAAAGAAGGAGGAGGAGGAGAAGGTGGGAGGGGGAGGAGAAGGAGGAGGGAGGAGGGGAGTGTATCGGTCAGACAGAGCTGTGGCTACGTTCCTGCTCTGCACATCCTAGCCACAGTGCATGTGCCATTAGTTAAGCACTTACTGGGCACCAACCTTCTGTGCCAGGCTCCAGCCTTTCTTCAATGGAGCTCACAATCTGATGGAGGAAACAAATGCCCAAACAGATCATTCAAGTGCAGGGGGTAGAGTGCACCAGTGTTGGCGACTCAGTGTGTTGTCAGAACCTGGGCGGGAGGCTTTGAACTCAACCTCTTCAGTCAAGGAGGCCTCCTGAAAGAGTGACAGGGACCCCAGTCTTGGAGGGAACAGAAGGAGTGAGCTAGGTGATGAAGGAGGAATGTGCATTCCACGTGCGCAGCAAGGTGAAGGTGTAAGACCAGGCCTGTGCCCAGGAGAATCAGCAGCTCCGGAAGGTTAGGGCATGGAGTGTGGAGGTGGACAGGGACAGGAAGGGTGGGAGGGCTTGGAAATGCCTCCCCTTTGGCCTTGGCTCTTGCCTGTCCCTCCTGCCATCCACACAATGAAATCTGACTCAGCCTCAAGGCAAGCTCTGCAGCAGACCTGCCATTTTGAATCCTTCAGTGGAGAATCACAGTGTCCTCAGGGATTCTGCGGCATCTTACAGGTGCCTCTGTTCTAGACTTTCATGTTCTGCCTTGCTTTCAGTTATTTATTTACACATCTGAGGTCCTTTACTACATCAAAAGACCCTTGAATGCAGGAACCATGCCCTAAACATCCTTCTATCTTACACAGCTCCTTGTTCAGTGTTCAGAAAATAACTGAATTGTGATCACTTGGCTAATTGGACAGTTTTTCCACCTTGGGAGCAACTACCAAAATGACATTGGTTTCATGTAAGTTGAAAGAATTTTAAAAGTTATCTATTAACATTTTTTCAACATATCCAATTTTTTTATATATATATATATATATATATATATTCAAAAACAAAAAGAGCTTTATGAATTTTATTGATTATAAAGTTGATAAATATGCATAAAGAAAATGTAAATGATACACAAAAGCATAAAGAATAAATTTAAAATCACACAAGATACTATCTCCCAGAGGCAGCCACTGTTTACATTTCAGATAATCTTTCAGACATTTCTCTATAAATCCAGCTATTATTAATGTATAACTTTATAAAAAGGTAGTAAAAAATGCAACATAAGCTAGCCCTCAGAGTAATAAGTTCAAAAGAATTTAACAGTTGAATAAAATGTGTTTTTTTTCTTTTCGATAGCCTAAATGGGTTCTCTGATGTTCCCTGAGGGATTAAACAACCACTCAAGATTTTCTTGGGAAACTTCTACCTGCTTTCTGTCTCTCTTTTCTTGAGATAAAATTGACCTGCCGTAAAATTCGCCATATAAAGTATACAATTCAGTGGTTTTGAGTATGCTCACAGGGTTGTGCAACTATCACCACTATTTAATTCCAGAACATGTCCATCGCCCCAAAAGGAAATGACATACCTTTTAAGCAGTCACTACCCATTCCTCTCTCCCTCCAGCCCCTAGCAACAAATAATTTCTTTTTTTTTTGAGACAGAGTCTCATTCTGTCACCCAGGCTGGAGTACGGTGGTATGATCTCGGCTCACTGCAACCTCTACCTCCCAGGTTGAAGCAATTCTCCTGTCTCAGCCTCCCAAGTAGCTGGGATTACAGGCACCTGCCACCACGCCCAGCTAATTTTTGTATTTTTAGTAGAGATGGTGTTTTGCCAGGTTGGCCAGACTGATCTCAAACTCCTGACCTCAAGTGATCTGCCTGCCTTGGCCTCTCAAAGTGCTGAGATTATAGGCATGAGCCACTGTGCCTGGCCACTAATTTAGTTGCTGTCTCTATTTTATTTCTGTCTTTATGGACTTGCCTATTTTGGACATTTCATGTGAATGGAATTATATAATATGATGCCTTTTTTATCGGGCTTCTTTCCTGTAGCATAATATTTTCAAGGTTCATCTATGTCGTAGCATATGTTAGTGCTTCATTGCTTTTTATGGCCAAATAATATTGCATTGTATGGATATACCACATTTTGTGTATCCATTCATCAGTTGATATACATTTAGATTCTTTCAACTTCTTGGCTGTTATTAATAATGTTGCTGTGAACATTAGTGTAAAAGTTTTTATTTCAGCATGTGTTTTCACTTTTCTTGGGTATATACCTAGGAATAAAATGTCTGGGTCATGGCTAGGCATGGTGGCTCACACCTGTAATCTCAGCACTTTGGGAGGCCAAGGCAGGCGGATTATGTCAGGAGTTGGAGACCAGCTGGCCAACATGGTGAAACCCTGTCTCTACTGAAAATACAAAAATTAGCTGGGCGTGGTGGCAGGTGCCTGTAATCCCAGCTACTTGGGAGGCTGAGGCAGGAGAATCATTTGAACCCAGGAGGCAGAGGTTGCAGTGAGCCAAGATGGCGCCATTGCACTCCAGCCTGGGCAACAGGGCTAGATGCTGTCTTAAAAAAAAAAAAAAAAAAAAAAAATCTGGGTCATATGGTAACTCTGTAGTTAACTTTTTGGGGATCTGCCTATATAAGAGTTTCACTTTTTCTGTGTCCTCAGCAACACTTGTTATAGTTTTCTGGTTATAACCATCCTAGTGGGTGTGAAGTAATATATCATTGTGGTTTTGATTTGCTTTTTTTTTGCTTTTTTTTTTTTTTTTTTGAGACAAGGTCTTGCTCTGTCACTCAGGCTGGAGTGCAGTGGCACAATCATGGCTCACTGCAGCCTCAAACACCTGGGCTCCAGCAATCCTCCTGCCTCGGCCTCCCAAGTAACTGGGACTATAGGTGTGTGCCACCATGCCTGGCTAATTAAAAAATTTTTTTTGTAAAGACAGGGTTTCACTATGCTGCCCAGGCTGGTCTTGAACTCCTGAGCTCAAGAGATCCTCCTGCCTTGGCCTCCCAAAGTGCTGGGATTGCAGACATGAGCCACTGTACCCAGCCTGCAGTTTTCTAATGACTAATAACATTGAGTAATTTTTATGTGCTTATTGGCAATTTATATATCTTCTTTGGAGAAATGTCTATTTCTTCACATCCTTTGTCCACTTTGTAACTGGGGTATTTGTTTTTTATTGTTTAGTTTTTAAAGCTTCTTAAATATTATGAACCACTGTAGACCTGATTTGCAAAACATTTTTCCCCCATTTCATGGCTTTTTAACTTTCTTGATAGTGTCCTTTGAAGCACAAACATTTTTAAGTTTGCTGAAGTCCAGTTTGTCTGTTTTTCTTTCCAGGGTGTGTTTCCTGATACGTCCTCACAGGATTGATTTTTCTTTCTTTTTTTTCCTTTTTTCTTTTTTTTTTTTTTCGACATGGAGTCTTGCTCTGTCGCCCAGGCTGGAGTGCAGTGGTATGATCTGGGCTCACTGCAACCTTCACCTCCCGGGTTCAAGCAATTCTCGTGCCTCAGCCTCCCAAGTAGCTCCCATTAGGTGTGCATGGCTAATTTTTGTATTTTCAGTAGAGATGGGGTTTCACCATATTGGCCAGGCTGGTCTTGAACTCCTGACCTCAAGTGATCCACCTGCCTTGGCCCCCCAGAGTGCTGAGATTACAGGCGTGAGCCACTGCGCCTGGCCGGAATTGGTTGTTTTAACCTTGCCCCAACCAGACTGTCTTCTGCACTCTAACTGCCCCTTCTAAGTCTTCCAGGCAGCCTGGGCCCCTGAAACACTGGGATTCCTCATTACCCAAGGTTCTTCTGTGTTTCATGGTGATCACTACATCTTCACCACATAAGACACTTTGGATTGACTTCAAGACTCACCTTGACATTGGCTTGAACACTTTCTCCAACTTCGGCTCCTGTAACAAAGACTCTATTGATTCTCCCTCCACCTCTCTCTGCCCCTCTGTGACTCCACTCTGGACTCTTCATCTTGCTCAGGGTTTGCCGTACTCTCACTTTTCTCTCTCTCCTCTCTACTTTCCAGTGTTCACCTGGTTTGACTTCTTCAATGACCTCCTCTCTTTCGCTCCTTAGTGATGGAAGGCAACACAGTGAGACCGACCTGGGTTTGCAGCCTGGCTTGGAAATTTGCAAGCTGGGAACCTTGGACAAATTTATTTATAGCTCTGTTCCTTTGTTTCCTCATCTGTCCAGTAGGGGTAAGAATAATGTCTTCCAAAGGAGCTCTTGGGAGGCTAAAGGAGATATCATAAATACCCTGTGCCCATGATACGTGATAGAGTAAGGGCTCAAAGATATTCACCATCGGTGCCCCACTATCACTTCAAACTCAGCCTGTCCAAGCCAAGCTCATAATTTCACTCCAGGCTAGATCCTTCTGTCTTTTGCCCCCTTCATCCTGCTAGTGCCCTCACTTTGGGGTCACCTCCTACCAGGCCTTGTTCATTTACGATAATATCATCCCACGTGTGTCCCACATCGCCAGAGCTTGTCCATGCCCAGGCTCTTGCTTTCTTTCACCCTGGAGCCCCAGTCACCTGATCCTGCTAACTTTTGTTTCAAAATATCCCCTTCTCCCTCTTTTCTTTCCACCATCAGGGCCCCTGTCCTAGCTGTGTGCTCACTGGACTCTGAGTGGCGGAACAGCCCCTGATACCACCGTGGCCCACCTACCTCTGATCTCTGGCCTTTAGATTTGGCTCTCACAGGAGCTAGGAGTCCAGGCACCTTCCTGTGTTTTCTACAGCTCTGATTCTTTTTCCTGGCAAGTTGGGGCCACACACTAACCTGGCAAAATGTGGGAGAGGGAGCGAACTGTAGAATTTGGAGGTGGGAGCTCCTGATTGTAGACTAGGCTTGCCAGGGGATCCAGCAAGTCCTTTATGGTTTTTGGACCTTGATTTCCCCACCCGCACAGTGGAGATGAAGAATTTCTCAGTCTTGAAGGCCCCTGCCTCCTCTGATGTGTGGCGATTTATCACTTGTGGTCTCTTCCAATTACGAGGCTCATTCATGGGGCTTCTGAGAAGTCCCTTTTCGCTCTCTTCCTACCTTGACAGATTTGTCTTCTAAGGTGAGTTTCTCTTTTGCCGAGTCCTTCTCAGACCTCATTTCCTATCTCTGACTCACTCCGCTTGGCTTCTTCCCCTACCTTATAGCCTAGGGTGTGTGCGTTGATGTACAAATGTGTTCTGATAGTTGGCATAGCTTCTGCCTCTGTGTTCTCTTGGTCTTGCAGACAGTCTCTGCCTCCTGTCTCTCCTATTCCATCTCAGCCCCACACTGACAACAACCCATGGGATCTTTCTAAAGCTTAAATCTGAGCTTGTCACTCCCCTGCTGAAAAAACTTCGGTGGCTCTCTAAAGCCCCAGGATCAAGGTTATCTCCTTACCCTCCTTTTCAAACATCCCACACCCCTCTACAGTCTGGTCTCAACCTAACTGCTGTACTCATCTGCTCCTGAAGAGATGGGCCCCCGATTCCTTTGCTGATTCCATCCCTGTGCATGGAGTGTGCCCTCCTCTCACTTCTGTGTCCAGTGACATTCTGTGATGTCACCCACTGGGCCTCAGATCAGCTGTTACTTTCTTGGGAAGCTTCCCTTGATCTCTTCATTCAAATAAAAATGCTGTTACTTGTACATTCCTGCAGAATGTTATTCACTCTGCGGAGAAGGATCATTTTCTTTCTTCTTCATCTCATGATAAAGGTGGGGGCAGTGTCTGATGTGGCCAGGTGGTCAGCACATCGGTGCTGCTCAGTATACATTTGGTGACTAAGGGAATGGCTTCTTTATGGACTTCTGGCTTTTGTCTCCCTCCCCAGCTGGGCTACTTGAGAGGCCTCCTTTAATCTACCCACCATAGATAGATCCTCTTGAAGGGCAGCTGGGTTCATCTGCTGCCAAGCCCAACGTATGTTCCACATTTAAACAAAGGAACAGGAAGAAGCAAGGATTAGTGCAAGATGCTAGTCATTGAGCACACAGACACCTGCTGGCACAGGGACCTTTGGCAAAATCCCCAGCAAGTGCCCACAAAAGCCAGTGGTCGATGGTGCCCACAGATAGGATTCCCACCGGCTGAGCTGCGGAGCCTGAGCACCTGCATCCTTCCAGTTCTAGAGAGCTGGAGCTGGCGCTTGAGATCAATGTGTTCCAGCCCACTCGTTTTATAGATGCAGAAGCTGAAGCCCCAAGAAGGCTTCCCAAGACCACCCAGCAAATCAGGGCAGCGCTGGGAAAGAAACTCAGGGCTTTCATTGCCTGGGCCCGTCCATCTTCACCAGGCTGTGGGGTTTTATGAGTACTGTTGTAATTCCTGGATGTTTTCCTTCACGAATAGGGATTTCCCTAGAGCTGGATTAATATGACCTTGAAATTGGCACTTATCTTTGAAATTCCAAGAGCAAAATCACTGATGGAGGGAATGAGGGAGGGGAGAGAGGGGGAGGGGAGAAAGGAAAAAAAAGGAGAGAAGGAGGAGAGAAAGAGAGAATGAGATAGGGACAAAGAAAGACACACGGCCAGAAAGAGATAGAGATGAAAAATGATCAAAGCCCAACAAAGAGATCAAAAGAGAGTCAGAAAGAGACCACCAGACAGTGCGTGAGAGAGATGGGAAGCAGAGACGAGGGAGACTACAATAACAGAGCCCTCTCTACAACTGCCTGCCTCCTTCCTCCACAGGGCCCCTGGGAAATCCTTCAAAGGCAAGTGCAGCTGTTGCCAGCTCTGGGTTCTGTGGGGCCCATAGGATGACGTGGCCTGAGGCTTCATCACTGGAGCCTGGGGCTTCAGCTTTCCAGGTAATGCGTGGGTTGCAGCAGCTATGGGAGTATGAGGTGGGGCTCTGAGAACAGTGCTGAGGGGCAGGAACATCTGGCCCTGGTCTGGGGTCTGGTGCTGCCTGGCTGGGGGTCTTGAGGAGGTTTTTACTCCAGAGCTTGGGTCAGCTGGTCCCTAAAGTTCTCCTAGCTTTGAAATTCCTGACTGACTGAGCCCATGGGACCTAAAGATAAAGGGTTCCATCCCTTCTTGGATGCTCATCCCTAACCACTACTTTGGGATCATGTCAGCCATCAAGGATGTGGTCAGAGAGGCATTGTCCACCGAAGGAGACTAACTTCACCTATTGATTTCTCCAGCTAAGAAATCTTCTTGGTAGAAATGTGAAATTACAGACCATCAGAGCTGGAGGGTACCAGGCACGTCTTTCTTGAGTTCCTCATTGCTCAGACAGGGAGACAGACTCAGAGAGCCCATCATCAGGCAGGAGCTAGAAGGTAGAACTTGGATCTGCTGGCCCGGTCATGGACCCCAGAGCACCAGGCTGCATGCTGAGTGGCAGCGAGGGAATTAGACAGGTTTCTTAGGCAGCAAGAACAGCCAAGTCCCCAGAAACATCCCCATAATTTGGGGAGGGATGGTACTGCTTCTCCCTTCTCTTTCCCTATTTAGGCTGTTTCAGAGCCACTTGGACTGTCCAATTTCACTGCCCAGGAGCTAGTTCAGCGGCAGCTGGCTGCTCACTACCCCTTCAATCACCAGGAACCCAGACTTTCAGCTCCTCTCTCTCAAAGGCCGGCCAGTCCTCTGGGCATAGTCTTAGAGGAGGCTGCCCCATGACTGTGTTTTGGGGGTGCTGGGTAGTGGCTGCAGAAGGCAGCAGATGGGGGTATGTTGAAAAGAAGGAAAGGGTGTTCAAAAGATGAAATTCAGACATACAAATCCGTCTATATTACCCACCACAAGTCACCAAATGGTGGAGTGGACTTTCTTTCATAGACATTCTGAGGCTTTTTCTTTGTTTCTTTACGTATTCATTCAGACACATATTCATTCACTCATGTAACCAACCAACCAGTCATTCATGGTGTGCATGTTCAGTTGTGGTGATGGTGGAGGTGGAGGGGGTGCATTGGTGGTGATGATGGTTGTGGTAGATAGGTTGTGTTGGTGCTGCTGGTAGGGGTGCTTTTGTTGGTGGTGGGTGGTACTGATAGGTGTTGGTGATATTGTGTGTAGTGGTGGTAGTGGGTGGTTGTACTGATGGTGGGCGGTGGTGGTCGTAGGTGAGTGTTTCTGTTGTTGGGTGGCATTGATGGATAGTGGTGATTGTGGTGGTGTTGATGGGTGTATCAGTGGCAGAGCTGATGATGTAGATACTGGTGGTGGTGAGTGTTATCTGTGGTGATGGTGATTGGAATAAGAATAGTGCTGATGGGTGTTTTGGGAGTAAACGTGTTGCTGTTGATGGGGGTATGGTGACAGTGATCGTGGTATCATTGCTTATGATGATGGTAGGTTTTGCTGGTAGTGGTGATGGATGTAGTGGTGGTGTCAATGGGTAGTTGTGGTTGTGGTGGTATTGATGATGGTATTGTTGATGGAAGTTGTATTAGCTTTCTATTGCTGCTGTAACAAGTTATCACAAATTTAGGGCCTTAAAACAACACAGATTTATTATCTTACAGTTTTGTAGAGCAGAAATCCAACATAGGTTCACTAGGCTAAAATCAAGGTGTCAGCAGGCTTAGTTCCTCTCTGGGGGCTCTTAGGGAGAGTCGACTTCCTTTTGTCCTCCAGCTTGTAGAGGCTACACCCATTATTTGGCCCATGGCCTTCTTCTTCCAGCGATGTTGCAAAGCCAGCGATGTCATATCTGTCTGACCCTTCCCCCACTGTCCATCTCTCTCTTTGAACACAGACAGGGAAGGTTTTCTGCTCTCATAGACTTGTGGTTAAATTGTACCCACTCAGGAAACCCAGGATAATCCCGCCATCTCAACGTCTGTACCCTTAATCACATCGATAAAGTCCCCTTTGCCATGTAAGGTAAAAAATGTACCAATTCTGGGGATTAGAGTGTGGATATCTTTAAGGGAGTAATTTTTTGGCCCATCATAGGGGGAATGACGGTAGTGACGATGGTGGTGACCATGGTGATTGTGGCGTTGATGATGATGAGTGTAGTGATGGTGGAGGGTGGTAATAGTTGTGGTAATGGGGAAGAGCGGGTGGTAATGGTATTGGTGGGTGGTTATAGTTGTAGTGTTTTTGAAAGGGTTATGGGAGTGTGGGCAATGGAGACAAATCCACCACTTTGGTTCTCTGCACATTCTCTGGTCAGGAGGGAGCCATGACCTGGACAGAGCATCTATATCTGCAGATGGATGGTGTGCTCAGGGACATGAGAGAGGGAAAATGAAAAGCTTTGAGGGCTTGGAAGAGGTAGATGTCCTTGTTGGCAGGGGCTTAGGAAGCTTTCTGGACTCTGAAGTATGGCTAGCCATTAAAAAAAACTCCGTAACGTTAATAGCTTTGGCTGGGCACTGTGGCTCATGCCTGTAATCCCAGCATGTTGGGAGGCCAAGATGGGTGGATCACCTGAGGTCAGGAGTTTGAGACAACCCTGGCCAACATGGTGAAACCCCATCTCTACTGAAAATACAAACAGTAGTTGGGCACAGTGGTGGGCGCCTGTAATCCCAGCTACTCGGGAGGCTGAGGCAGGAGAAATGCTTGAACTCAGGAGGCAGAGGTTGCCGTGAGCTGAGATCACACCACTGCACTCCAGCCTGGGTGATAGAGCAAGACTGTCTCAAAAAAAAATTAATAGCTTTACTGCTTTATATTTGTAATACGTGCTAATTAAACACAGTCAAGCAACACAGAAAAGTGCAGAAAAGAAAAATTTTAAAGTAACCAAAATCTTACTTCACATAAGGTTGGGGAGGGAGGTCATCTCCATACTCAGAGGTGGAGGTTGGGAGGTTCCTTGCTCAGAAGGACATTCCCTTCCCAAGGGAGGAAGCAGAGTGAGCAGTGGAATGAAGGTGTCCCGGGGTAGGGATGGTTCCATGTCCTGGGAGAAAGGGGCGGGCACATGTTCAGTGCAAGTGGGCACACAGCTATCAGAGCCGGGCAGGGGTGAGGTGGGGTGAAGCAGAACAGGCTCTCCCCTGCCTGCCCTTTGTCCTGTGATCTGCCTGGGTGAGCAGATAAGCTTCAAGGATCATTGCATTCTGTGCGTCACTCTGGGGGTGGGGGGTACACTGAAATGTGTCATGTAGGCCACTGCGGAATTGCAATGAACAAGAAGGATCTAGAAAGGGACAATATCATGGCCTTTTCTCTTTTCTCTCTAGCACCATCCCTCCCTTCCTCTGCCCTTGAGCAGAGCCTCCCCAGAAACCCAGGCATTTCTGCCTATTCATGGATCTGTGTGAGGCTAAAGGAGCATCCCCGACAATGACCTTGGGGGAAAAGACCTTTTGGGTCCTACTGATGCTAAGGGGACACCTGGAAGGTATCCATGCAAAGGGGCCAAGAAAGGTCAGAGTTTTAAAGGTCCCTTAAGATGATCAAGCCTAGGCCTTTTCAATCTTTCCCTCGTTGTTTATTCTTTAAGTTGTGACATCCTTTTGTCAAGCAACATTTTCAGTGAAAGTCCAATATGGACACCAACAAATAGGAAACTGCTTTGAGTGAAGCCAGGGAAGAAGTCTCTGCCTAGCTGAGCACCTAACACCTGGCTGGTCAACTTACTCCAGGCCTTGGATCGGGGTAGGAAATGGGGGAAGCATGCTTGACTTTCAGGGCTGTTAGGGATGACATAACATATGCAAAGCTCAGGACTCTGTAACGTGGAGAGACATTGAGGGCTTCCTAGCGGCTTAGCCTCACTCTAGGCTCTGTTTGGGAGGAGGGGACGGGGGCTAGGAGCCTGGAACATGGCCCTGGAGGGTTCCTATACAGGCAGATTATCATTCCAACAGTTGGCCCCCAGGCACCTCCTGCCCCAACTTAACACACACTTCCTCTCTACCTGCATCCTGCTGCCAACCTAGGTGGCCTCAGTGTCCCCTGGACTTAACACTTCACTTCAGCCTTACAGTCCAGGATCACCTTTGATAACAATCGCAGCAGATAATGTTAATGGAGCACTTGTCTCGCGCCAGGCCCTGTTCTTAGTTCTCCATACGTGTCATCTTGTTTGATGCTCCCAATAGCTCTTCAGAGGGAGCCTCGCTCTGTCACCCAGGCTGGAGTGAAGTGGTGCAATCTCGGCTTATTGCAACCTTTGCCTCCCAGGTTCAAGCGATTCTCATGCCTCAGCCTCCCCTGTAGCTAGGGTTATAGGCGTGTGCCACCATGCCTAGCTAATTTTTTGTATGTTAGTAGAGATGGGGTTTCGCCATGTTGCCGAGGTTGGTCTTGAGCTCCTGAGCTCAGGTGACCTGCCCTCCGCAGCCTCCCAAAGTGCTAGGATCACAGGTGTGAGCCACTGCACCCAGCCAGAGCACCATTCTTCTAGTCATCTTACGCATGAGCGAGGACTCACGATTTGCCCAAACTCATGCAGGTGAGGAGAGCTGGAATTTGGTGCAAGTACCATAGTGCCTGAACCAACACCACCTGAGGCCTCCCCACCTCTGAAACCTCAGCTGCCACAGCCCACTCCTTGGCCACAGGGTCCCTCTGCACCTCATAGAGACCTTTAGGTCTTTTTTGTAGCTTCCCCCCATTTCACTCAGTCACTTAGCCCCTCCTGCCTTCACTTTACCTGCCTAAATCCTTAGACCCATACTAGCAACCTCACCAGTGCTCTGAAGCCCCAGGGCTATTACCAGATCTAGTGAAAACCCTGTTTCCCTACCTGGAAGGAGAAGCAAAACTGCTCATTTGAAAGCTGGCTGCTTTGGAACCTTCTGAAAGGTCTGCAAAAGTCATCTTCTGTATAGAAAAAATTTTCTTTGTTTAGAGAACTCCTTTGAGAGCCTTTAGGTGAGGCACAGGGCATGGGCAGGGGCCCTGGCAGCTCTGGATAGAGGATGGGAGAGCAGAGAGGGTCAGGGGAGGTGACTCCCAGGTCTACCGCCTCACACACCTCTGGGGGCCCATCCACATGGCCTTGTCAGTGTAGCCTCTGGGACTTAGCATGTTTTACCCCTCTGGGAAAGGGGGTAAAAGGGAGCTTTACCCCCCACCAGTGAGAACCTCAGCAGGACTGATCACAAAGGCTGTTCTTCAACTCTCCCCTGGAGTATGAGAGGGAGTAGTTATACTCCACCTTATGCACCTCCAAAATGTAATCCAGAGTCCTTCCTTTGGACCCCAAGGCCCTATGAAATCTGTCCCATACCTCATCATCCACCAGGACCACACCGCTTCCTGCTTGCCTCAAACACCAAGTGCAATCCGGCTTCCACACTGCCTTCGCACCTTGGCACCTGCTCGTCTCTCTGCCAGAACTTGCACCCCTGGATATCTAAAGGGCTGCTCCTTTCTTTCTTTCTTTCTGTCTTTGCTCAAAGGTCACCTCCCCCAAAGGGCCTTCCTTGACCTGACTAGCTAAAATCACACACGGTCACTGTCTCTTCACTCTGCTTAAATTGTCTTCATAGCACTGATCATTATCTGATGTCAAAGTATAATTTCCAAAGAGTCAAAAACATGACTTTCATAGAAGCATCTAGCGGGATGTGTCAGTGATTTATTTAACTCATTAGTGAGGAATCAGCAAGATGACAGAGCTGGTTCAAGAGGGGATATGAGAACCTGCTATATGTAATCAATGGAAAGAGAGTGCTGGAATAAGATGGCAAAGTTAGATACTAAATTGGTTAATGTCCTATAGGACAGTAAAACTGCAACCTTTGGGGTTATCTTTTCTTCAGATAGAAACCATTTGCATCTCTGCTGGACAAAAATCATTTGCAGCTTATTAATCTTCTTGAAGTTAACATTTAACTTCCTAGAGTCTGGGTCCTAATCAATAGTAAATAGTAAGTCAAGCCAAAGTGACTCTCCTAGAACAGCCCTGTCTAAAAGGACTTTCTCTAATGAAGAAAATCTGCACCAAACAATAGTATAGTCCCTAGCCCCCAAGTGGCTGTTCAGCTCTTGACATGTGGTTGGTGTGATTGAGAAACAATTTTAGTTGTTTGAATTAAATTTTAAGATATTTAATCAATATAAGTAAATAGCTATTATATATTGTTATATGTATTTTACTATAATATTAAGATAACATGAATAATTTAATATTTATATATAAATTATATGTAAATATATAATTTATGAGCCGGGGATGGTGGCCCATGCCTGTAATCTCAGGACTTTGGGAGGCAGAGGCAGGCAGATTGCCTCAGCTCAGGTGTTCAAGACCAGCCTGGGCAATACGGCAAAATCTCAACTCTACCGAAAATACAAAAAATTAGCTGGGCGTGGTGGTGAGCACCTGTGGTTGCAGCTATTCAGGAGGCTGAAGTGGGAGGATCACCTGAGCCTGAGAGGTGGAGGTTGCAGTGAGCTGAGATCATACCACTGCACTCCAACCTGGGTGACAGAGTGAGACCCCATCTAAAATATATATATTTATTTATTATATTAAATATATTTAATTCATGTAATTAATATAAAGTTAATGTAAATGGCCAATTTACAATTAATATAAAGTTAATAAATTAAACTTAAATGGCCAATGTGGTGAATGGCTACCGTATTGGACAGCCCAGCCCTAGAAAGTCACAAGACAATTAGGGAGCTTGTTAGACAATGTTTTGAATCATTTTCATGTTTTGAATAATTTTTTCTTAACTCTGACAGTATATTATGTGTTTATTTGCTTGTTTATTGTCTTTTGTTCCTAATAGAAAGTAAGTTTTGTGATCGAAGGGACGGCTTTGTTTTCTACATGTCCTAGCACTTAGGAGGGGTGCCTTGAGCACAGCAGGTGCACAATCAATAATTGTTGAATGAATAAATAAACACAAAGTGGCTGGAATCTTATCAGAAGCCAAAGCAATAAGAGACTCCCCATGGTAAGTTTGGCAGATGAGCTTTAAGCAAGAGTGATGCCTGATGTTTAATTTTAAATGGTTTTCTTATTCTGTAAAGTAATCCCCTGCTGTTAACCTCAGACCTTCAGTGATGTATGTGGCGGCGGCTAATTGTTCTTGGGGAAGTGAAGGTCTATGAAAGAGGGTGGGGTGCAGAGTTGGGGGGAGGACATGATGACATGCAGGGGGTTAGAAGGATGGAGTTGGGTGCAGACATGCAGAGCCAGGGTAGACAGGAGGGGCTCCGCAGAGGGATGGGGGTGCTTCCTGGGGATCCTCAAACTACCAGGGAGAACCTCAGGCACCCACCCGCAGTTAAGAAGAAACAGACTCAAGTCATTCACTTGGGATTGTGTATTAGTCAGGGTGGACTAACTACAGTAACAGTCTTGAAATCTCAGTGGTTTGACATGGTGAGTTCCCAGGAGAGGGCCCTGGCCTTGGCCAACATGGTCTAGTTGGGGCAGAAACAACTCTTCATCTATCTCTGCAGGGTGAAGGTGCATAATCCACAAATCATTTCTCTCTGCCCTTGGGCTGCACTGGAGCCTACATTTATATATGGGAGTGTTTACCCAGGGAACTTACAGGGGATCCACCAGGAGGCTCACTGGGTGCAGCAAAGCCAGGAGAAGCCCCTTCCTCCTGCCTCCCCTTCCTCCTGCCTCCCCTTCCTGACTCCTCCCATTCTCCTTTCCCTGGGGCCTGAGGCAGCACAGCTGACTCTTAGATCTCAGCCTCTTCCCACAGCACAGGTGTGACTTGGCTGGGCCATGCCTTCCTTGGAGTAGGGAAAGGATTATTTCTATTCAAACCCCCCTCACCCTGCTTTTCCAGGACACATAAAAGATGCAGGCTGTACACTGGGGATGGTGGGAATGGTGGCAGGGTTGGCACTGGGAAGTGGCCTATGTCTTGTCCTTGGCTCCTTGGCTGCCTGTGATGACTGAGGATTACAATTTGCGTGGATGGGACTGTTTCTCTCTCTCTTTCTCAGGCTAACCATCAAATGCCCCAGGTAAATGAGACAATGAGATTATTGAGCTGCACCATCCCTGGGAGACTGAGGACCTAGAATCATTCCCAGGGTAAAGGCTCCAGAAGGCAGGGTTCTCAGCAGCCCTGTGGCCCTGCCCCTCATTGTGCAAAGGACAGACCTGGGCCTGGAGAGGGGAGGGGACTAACCGGGGGGCACACGGTGGGCCAGGGTCTCCTGACTCCCAGCCATGGCTTCCCTGTCACCCTGTTCTCCTGAAACCTCCCTCAAAGGTGTCTGTTCTTTGGGCTTGTCCCCTGGGTCTCTTTTCCCTGTCATCAAAGGGGGCCAAGATGAAGTGGGAGGAGGAGAGGTGGTGGGATGGATGCAAAGAGAGAGGCCTTTTTAGGCTGCAGGAACCTCCACAGGACACTGGAGTCAGAGACCTTCTCCATGAGGTTCTTATCTCTGGGGGGACCCCCAAATCGCCCTGCTGTCTGAAGGGAGGGGCCTTGGGCAGGATGGCAAGCATCAGTTTCTGGCTGTGCCTAGGACTGGAATGGGGTCCCAGGCTGCCACATGGCTGTACGTCTCTGATGTGTATGCTGCCCTCTCTCCCCCTGCCCCTGGGAATTCCCTGTTCCCTTTCCCTTCCCATCTAACAGAGGAGTCCTCCTCCATCAGAGTTGAAAGCGCCCTTAGAAGCCATCCAACCCCCTCAATTTACAGCTGGAGAAAGAGAGGTTCAGAGAGAGGAAGGGGCTTTCATGTGTTTGTACTGCCAGTCAGGGCAGAGCTGAGACTGGAGCCTGAGGCTTCTGCACTAGCTAGGGGTTTTCCAATGTGCTCCGGGCTGACTCTTGCCCATTCTCTTATCTTGTCTCATCTTGTCTCATCTCATTAAGGATGAGGGGCTAGAGAGAGAGCACTGAGATGGGATCTTGAAATTGACTTCTGAACAGCTCTTGGCTTGTACAGTGAGAGAAACACTTCCCCCACCCCCTCACCCAAGCCCAGAAGTGAAAACCACCCCTGGCCTCCATTCCAGTTACCCCTCCTTGCTGGCCAGGCTGTCTCTGTGGGGTCCCAGGAAAAAGTCGTGGGCAGGGGACAAGTGAGGAATAGGAATGGGCCACTCCTTTGGGGAGGAAACTCCACTGGGCTTGAGCTCCTGGAACCAAGGAGGACAGACTGGCAGCTGCCTGTTGGGATAGGTTCTTCGGAATTTCATGGAGTTCTTTAGAATGGAAGGCAGAGGGAGGAAAGCATCTGAGATTGGGTCCAGGGAAGAAGGAGCAGGGGCAATGGCAAAGGCCTCTTGTTGCCCCAGGTGGATGAGAAGGTATATTTGGGGACTCTTCCTACAGGGAGTCTTCCAAGCTTGACTTTAGGGTTCCTTGCAGCAAAGACCAAAGTCAGAATAAAAAGTCAGAATACACTTGGTTCACTCTGTCATTTATGGTCAGGATGCTTTTGGCTGTCACAGAAACCCCACTCAAAAAAGCTTAGGCCAAGGCCAAAGGGAATTATTGAAAAGATACTGGGCTTTTCCATGTCACGAAATCATGGAAAGGCCTTGCTCATGTCAACAGATCACGTCCCTATAGCTGAATGCAGCCAGGACTGTCTTTCATCTCTGCTTATCTTTGTGTCAGCTTTGCCTCTGATGGCTTCTTCCACACTAGAGGACACAGTGCTGACCACTCTCCAGTGTCCCACAGCTCAGAGCTTTATACCAAGAGACAGACGGTTCCTCTTTCCCCAGGTCCTATTGGGGAAATCCCTAGAAGGACTCAAACTGGCCTGGGCTGGGTCCGGCAGCCACCCATGGCCTGAACCGTGAGGTGTTGGGAACTGTCTGCAGAGGACAGAAAATCACAGTGAGTCTGGGAACCTCTTTCGAGGGAGCCCTCTCTAGTTAATTTCTTTAGAATGTTTGTTAATGTCTCCTACATGCCACACCTGGCCATAGCTGAACTGTGAGCAGCCTCAGATTTAGGGTGACCACAGTTTAACAGAGGAGCAAAGCACAAGATAGTAAGTTCTTCAGGCCTGAAAGAGAGCAGATATGGTGCTCTGGGAAGACAGTGATTTTAGAATCAGGTGGAGAGAGCAGAATGTCCAAAAGCTTGGGGGAAACTGTGAGCTTCTAGCTCACTGGGAAGGCAGCAGGCGATGAGACTTGGGAACAAGGCTATGGAGCTTCAGATTTGACCTAGAGACAGGGGGAGCCATAGGAGGCAGGGAGGGGATGGGGTCAGACTTGTCCAATTATGTCCTATAGAGCCTAGTGCTATGTTGGACATCAAGTTGCTAAGTGGCCCTGTTTTAGGAATTCCCTTTCAATGATGTGTGGAGAGGAGAGCCTGAGATTGCAGACAGGGGAGTGGATGGGTAGGAAGCCACAGGCATATCCTAGGGTAGTCTCAGCACACCAATGCACAATTATGGAAACACGATTATTAGCAGAATTGAGCTCCTTTGTTTTGTGCAGTTATGGGAGCCAGGAGACAGCCACTACTCTATAAGAAAGGGAAAAAAGATTGCTCTGTGAAACTGAATTCATCAGCTGAAGAAGCTGCATTTGGTCTAATTCTAACATTTCACTCAGCTTTCCTTCTCTGGCCCTACTCTTCAAAACCTTCCGGTCCTCCAGAGTAGGCTGTTCCCACCGTCAGCAGCATAGAAGAATGCAGAACAAAGTTCTGCCTCCCTAAGGCAAGGAGGAAACTCTTGTCAGGCAGGAGAGCACTTGAGGACCTGGGGGAGGAGGGCAGAAGAAGGGCGGACACAGGGATTCTGGCTTCCCTCCCCGGGGACAGGAAAAACACAGGGCATCTTCCTGGAACATCAATTGTTATCAAAGATTTCAAGAGAAAAAAATTCATAAATCATTTTAATACTAAGATCAGATGGATATATTATGGAGTAGAATGCAAGTTTTGCATGCTTTTAAAAAAATTATGGTAAAATACACGACAAAATTTTACCACCTTAACCATTTTAAAGTGTTCAGTTCAGTGGTGTTAAATATATTTCCATTGTTGTGCAACTGTCACGACCATCCAGTTTTATAACTCTGCTATCTCGCAAAACTCAAACTCTACCCACAAAACAATAACTCCCTGTTCCCCTTCCTCTCATCCTTTGGCAAACACCATTCCACTTTCCTTCTCTACGAATTTGACTACTCTAGATGTCTCATAGAAGTGGAATCATACAATACTTGTCTTTTTATGACTGGCCACTTTTGTTTAGCATAATGTCCTCAAGATTCATCCGTGTTGAAGCAGGTGTCAGGATTTCCTTCCTTTTAAGTTGGAATAATACTCCGCTGTGTGTACGTATGCCACGTTCTGCTTATCCATCCAGCCATAGGCGGACATTTGGGTGGTTTTCCCTTTTGGCTGTTGTGAATAATGCTGCTATGAACACGGGTGCATAAATATCTGTTCAAGACCCTGCTTTCAACTCTTTTGGGTATTTACCAAGAAGTGGAATTGCAGGATCATGTGGTGTTATAATTCTTCAATTCTTCCTCTTTTTTTTTTTTTTTTGAGACAGAGCTTCGCTCTTGTTGCCCAGGCTGGAGTGCAATGGTGTGATCTCAGCTCACTGCAACCTCAGCCTCCCAGGTTCAAGTGATTTTCCTGCCTCAGCTTCCTGAGTAGCTGGGATTACAAGTGTGCACCATCATGACTAGCTAATTTTTTGTGGGGTTTGTTTGTGGGTTTTTTTTTTTTTTTTAATTTTAGTAGAGACGGGGTTTCACCACATTGGCCAGGCTGGTCTCAAACTCCTGACCTCAGGTGATCTGCCCATCTCGGCCTCCCAAAGTGCTGGGATTACAGCGTGAGCCACCACGCCCAGCTGGTATTATAATTCTATGTTTAATGTTTTTTAGGAACCACCACACTGTTTTCCGTAGTGGCTATGCCATTCATTACCCTCAACGTGCATGTATCTTCCATATTCTCACTAACACTGGCCATTTTCTGTTTTTCGATACTAGCCATCTTAATGGGAGTGAGGTTTTAGCATACATTGTTAAAAGGAAAAGACATATCTCACCTCTGATGGCTGCTTTGAGTCTCATTCTCAGAGCCTCAGGGCTTTCAGAGCAGAAAGAGAAAGCATCCCAAGCCTGGGTGCAGCACTTAGTGGGTCTGCAGGAGTCGCTTACCCTTCTCCTCCTGTTCTTTGCAGCTTGCTTTCACAGCCTTGAGGGCAGGATAGGCCACACATAAGTGTGACATGCAGCAGAATGAAATGCCTTTTATCATCAAGAGTCACAGCCTTAAGCTCAGAGGACTGGGAATCTCTCCCACAATCCGGAAGGCAGGACATCCAGAAGGCAGCTTCATGGAGGAGTGAGATCAAGCTGGGCAGTGAAGGCAGAGAGGACTTTTCAGGTAGGAAGTGGTCTTAGAGGAGAAGAAGGCTGCACCTGAGCAAAGGCCTGTAGGTGGAGAGAAGGAAAAGGGTTTTTCCTTCTTAGTTACACAAGCAGGTTTGAAGGATTCCAGCGGGCTCTGGACTTACCCCTATCCTCCCTACCCCACCAGCCTAGTTGAGCCTTCCTCTCAGTAAGGGATGCCAGCGTCTTTTGGCTCCTTCTCCAGCCCTCCAGATCACCCCCTCTTTCTCGAAATGCTTTCCTTGCCTCCTTGACACCTGGCTCTTTCTATTTTTCTCCTCTCCTTAGGCTGTTTCTCCTTGTCTCCGCCAATTCTTCTTTCAGCTCCTGAAGAGTTTCCAAGGGAGAGGACTTGGCAGCTGTCTGCATATGATGTCCTTGTGCAAACCTGCGATTGAGATCCCAGGGAAGGGGCTGTCAGCAGTTGAAGGGGTGACTAGCCCTGTGAATGTACGCTTAAGTTTTGGTGCCTTCTGGATGTCCCCAGGCAGGAATCTCTGCCTTCTCACCTCCTTTACCCTAGATAAGGCAGCCTTTCAGCTGAGCTGAATTGATTCAAGCTCTCAAAGTCATCTGATTAAGGGGACAGTACCTGATGGCATCAAGCAAAGGTGTCAGGGGTCTTGTGATGGAGACAGACACGAGTTCGCCCGGCACCCACACAAAAAGAGGAGAGCTGGATTTGGGAAGAGGCAGTTATAGTCACTGTGAAAGGCAGTGTGGGAGATGCACCTCATTGCTACGGGAACTCAGAGGAGGAAGACATCAATCCAGCTTTGAGGTGAGGCTTCAAGTAGACTTGACAACCTAGCTGGGGAGATGAGCTGTATGAATCCACACATGGAAACTAACCAAAGGCATATGTTCTCAGAGGCATCAGAGTTACAAATAAGTTCTTTGAGTATCGGAAGAAGAAGGCATTTTTATCCTACTTGGGAATGAAGGTGGCACCACAATTTCCTGGATGGAGTGAATTTGATCCATGCCTTGGCAGGATGGAAGCAGAGACGAGGTGGAAATAGAATGACTAGGGAAGAGAGTGAGTGGAATCCCAGGGCAGAAATGCATGCAGTATGTCCAGTGAGCAGTAGATGATCCAGGGTGGTTGGAGCCTTTTGGTGATGGGGAGCCATAGAAAGTTCTTGAGGAGTAGGGTGATGGGCTTGGAGGTGTGCAGTGATTGGCGAGTTGCTTCTCATAGCAGTGTTGGGACTGCCATTAGCTGAAAGTATTAGGTTTGGGAAAGGTGAAATCCAATCTGCATGGACTCATCAGCAATGATTTCTGGGCTAGTGAAGGGGGAGGAAGTCTAACCCTTTGGAAAGCACTTGCTTGAGGCACTGATGCACAGCTCCTGCATAGCGGATCCTCAGTCTTTCTAAAGATGCCGTTTTAACCTAGTTTCCTGGAACTCGTACAACTGAATACAGTATTTGATGTTTACAAAATTGAATTGGAAAATCTCAAACAAGGCAGAAAAAGCTATTATTTCAAGCTTTCTGTTGGCTCTGTTTTAGCTTGTGTGTCTAGTGGCTGGAGAGGCTGGGAAAAGACCGTGGTGGAGGAGCTAGGTGGCTGGAGGCAGGGAAGACAAAGGATTCAGTTCTGGACGTGTTGAGGCTGAGATTCATGGTGGCTTGCAAGTGGAGATATCCAGCAGACTGTCGTGCTTATAAATTTGAAGCTTCGGATAGTGGTTTAGGAGTATATTAGCCAGCATTCTTCTAGTTATGAGTCATAATCCTAACTTTAACTGTCTCAAGTCAGAAAAGCAATTTATTGGCTCTTGTTAGTGGAAAGTCCAGGGGTTGGTTGGTTCTGATGTTAGGCATGGCTGGACCTAGGGGTTCAGTGATGTTTAATGATGTCAGTTATAGCCTGTCTGTCCATCTCTCTGTCTCTCCGCATCTCAGTTCTGCTGGGCTGTATTTGGCTTCATTCTGCATGTAGGTTCTCTCCACCAGATAAGGCTTAGTGTCTCCAGGGGAAAGAGGCTAATTTCTGCCAGCAGCAGAGTTCTGGGGGAACTCTGATTGGCCTGGATCAAGAATGAATAAGAGTGCCCCAGTCCTAAAGTTAGAGGACAGGGCCATTGTGATTGGCAGTTCCCCTGTGACCATGTGGAATTGAGAATGAGCAATTCCCCAAAGCAGAAGTGAGGTGTCATTCCTAGGAATGTATGCTGGATCAAGAAACAGTACAGCATCCACAGGCTGTGTCAGGGTGTCTTCACTACACAAGTGAGGATTCTGCAGCACAAATAGATGAGATCATCTAGGGAGACTGTATATAGATAAGAGAGAGAAGGGCTAGAGCTTAATCTGCCAGAGTTCAGGGAGGAGACTGGCCAGGAAGAGGCTTCCAGGAGCTGGGAGAGTCTGGAAGGGTCCAGGGTGATCCAAGCCTCAGGAGGAGATAATGAGGAAGTAATCCTCTTCAGAGAGCTCCAGTGATATGGTAATGGAAAAGTAATTTTACAACCGAGTGACTGGAGAGCTTGGAAAAAGCTGGGGACAAGGGGGTGATGGGATGGAAGCCAGCTTGGAGGGGCTATGAAAGGAACAGGGAGTGCTGGAGCCAGAGAGGTTGCTGAGTTTTTGTTTTTGATTTAATGAGGAGACACCTGATGTGTTAATGCTCAAGGGAGAGGATGAAGTTTGGGGAGAGGGAGGGGATTCTGGAGTAGATGGCAGGGCTGGAGTTAAGGACAGAGGCAGCAGGATTACCTTTGTCTCCACAAGACCCTGCTGTATACAGCTGCATGACATGCACAGCAGAGTCCATCTTGTTCACTTAATATTATATGCATTTCCCATTTGCAATGTAGTATTCATACTTATCTTTTAAAGTTAGTTTTTAAATGACAAAAGCAACACATGCATATGGTAAAACAAAATGCAAACAGTTCAGAAGGAATAAAAGATGAAAATGAAAGTCTTCTCCATCCTCCCTCAGCCTGCCTTCCTGTAGGGAAACTGCTTTTCATTAGTTTCTTGGGAATTCTTCCCAAAATTTTTAATGCATATACAAGCATATATGTGCATATATTTTAAAATAGACAAGTGGGATCCTACTGTGCATACTGTTCTGCACCTTGCTTTTTCACTCAATGCTGTATCTTGGAGATACTTCCTTATTAGCATATAGAGAGAGCTCACTCCCTTTCAAGAGCGGGATGCTGTTCTGTTGTGGGGATGGAGTAGGGCTTGTTCGACAGTTCTCTACTATGTGGACTTTCTATTGTTTCTAATCTATTGCCATTAAAAAGAATACTGCAATATACCTTTTAACATACTTATTTTTGTGCACAGGTGGAACTATTTTTGTACATAAAATTCTTAGGAATGGAATTATCGGAGTTAAAGAATATATACATTTAGAAGTGTGATAGGCAATGCAAAACTGCTCTTCAAAGAAGTCACATACATGTGAATATTTTGGAGCTTAAGTAGGAGATACACAGGTGTTTGTTATATTACTGCCCATATTTTTTGTATGCTTGGATAGTTTACCCACATATGCACAAGAAGTCACAATATTTACACTCCCACAAACAGTAAATAAACATGCCCTCATTTTCCCAAAAGGACATTAATGAGATTTTAAATCTTTGTCCATTTGAAGGGTGGAAAATGGTATATCCCTATCACTTTAATTGCATTTATTTAATCATGAGGGTGGCTGATCATTTTTTCAGTAAATTGCTTTTGCATTTCCATTAAGTCATACTTTAATGCCTACAGACAGTTTCATTTTATACATGTGCCTTAATTTACTTAACTCTCTTCTTGTGGGTTATTTATATGGTTTCTGAACAACTGTGAATATCTTTGTACGTGAAGTTTTTTCTCTTCTCTTTTTTGAGTTTTTTCTTCAGTGTACCATTCCAGAAGATGAATTGCTGGGTCAACAGTGTGAACATTTTTATGACTCAATATATATTGTCAAACTGCTTTCTCAAAGGGCAGTACAATACACAGTACCCCCAATTTTATTATTCTCTTCTCAGGATTAGGTATTGTAAATACAAATTAATTATTTTCTAATTTTATAGGTAAAAATGAGGGCTTAATTTCATTTGTATTTTTCTTATTCCCAGTGAGGTTGAATATTTTAATATGTTTGTTTATTAATTGCATTTCACCTCTCTGAACTGTCTTCCTTTCTGCTCATTTACTGATAGCACATTCTTATACAAAGGAAATAAGATGATATCTTATCAGGGAAACCTCTTTCCTCAGGCCCTGTGACATTCTGGGAAATTATTGACTGATATCAGATTATCAAAGTCAATCTTTTACATGAGAAAACTGGGGAGGGAGTGATTGAAAAGACTTAGGCGATACAGAGTGAAGACAGATGGGAGAACTGAATGAGTTAGACTCTAGGTAATGATGTGGGTTGCAGATATGAGGGAGGTGGGAAAGAATTTATGAGTCAGGATGGAAATTCCTGGGTAGCATAGAGAACATGGAGGGCTCAGGGTTCTCCACCTCTCAGCTTCCAAATGGAGCCCTCTGGGTGACCCGGACAGCAGTGGCTGGGTTTCAGAATGCCGACCTGGATGTTATCATTTCTGCCATGTGCTGCAGACTTGAAAACAGATTGGACCGAGGAAGGATTTTGCTTAAGCTTTGGGTGAGCAGTTACTGAGCACCGTCCCCTTCTTTATCCAGACAGCCATTTAGTTTCACCATTGTTAAACAATCTCTGTTATTTAATTTGATATCTAGATTCATTGGTATTATACTTTCTATTTCTTTTATTACTAATTTTCATAGATTTCTTTGATCACTTCATATATATATGTATACACATATGTATATATATACACACGTGTATATATATATACATGTGTAGTATCGATTCCTACTATTTTATTACTGTTCATACCTTCATTTCTGTGTGTGTGTGTGTGTGTGTGTCTGTGTGTGTGTATATTCACCTCTTTTGGGGGGAATTGACTGTTCATATTCATTTTTCTTTCTTTTGGATATTATTTTATTCATTTTCAAGTAATCTTTATATATTAAAGTTATAAGATTGTCATATTTTTCACAACATTATTTTTAATTTATTTGCGTTTAATTTTGTTTGTTTCTTTCACTTTTTTTATTTTTCTTTTGAGATGGAGTCTCACTCTATCACCCAGGCTGGAGTGCAGTGGTGCAATCTCGGCTCACTGCAACCTCTGCCTCCCAGGTTCAAGTGATTCTCCTGCCTCAGCCCCACCACGCCCCACCATGCCTGGCTAATTTTTGTATTTTTAGTAGAGACGGAGTTTCACCACTTTGGCCAGGCTGGTCTCGAACTCCTGATCTCAAGTGATCTGCCTGCCTTGGCTTCCCAAAGTGCTGGGATTACAGGCTTGAGCCAATGCACCTGGCATCACTTTTTGTTACTGAAATGCACAATCGAGCTTGTCTAATCTGTGGCCCACGGGCTGCATGCAGCTCAGGACAGCTTTGAATGTGGCCCAACACAAATTCCTGAACATTCTTAAAATATTATGAGATTTTGTTTGTTTGTTTTTAGCTCATCAGCTTTTGTTAGTGTTAGTGATGGCGGTGGTGGCCTGGCTGCTGCCATGATACTGGCTGCAGTGGGGGCGGGGTAGCCAGGGCTGCCCGCTCCACAGAGCCAGTGAGAGCTGGGAACAGGCAGAAGCCCTGCCCGCTTCCAAGTTGGAGGTGTGAGAGCCCCACCCTACTGGGGCAGCTGGAGCTGCCCAGCCATGGCTGCAGACCCAGGCCTCTCTGCACTCTAGGGGCCCAGGAAGTCCCCTGTCCCTGAAGGCTCTGAAGTTACTGCTCCTGCTGCCTGGCCTCTCCCACTCCCAGCATCCACTCCAATTTTGGAGCAAAGTTGTGGCTGAGCCCAGGTGCTGTCATGACCCAGCTGGGTGTGTGCACACTTAGGGCAGTGCTAACACGCCAGCTCCCTGCTGCTTCAGCCCCCTCCAGACTTTGAATGCAGATGAGCAGGGGAGAGAGGCCAAGGCAGGGATAAGGGTGGCTAGGGCATGTCTGCAGGCACCCCTCAGCATGAACAGCCTGAGCACTGTGGGCACCGTGGATGGCAGGTTAATGGCAGCAGGAGACAGACAGGCTCCTGGGCAGAAAGGGGCGTGTCCCTGATGAAACCCCCGCTTCAGGCCAGGGACAGCCTGGGGTCCAGGCTGCCAGTTCTGCCGACCACAGTGAGAACTTTTGGTGCTTTTTCTGGGTCTGCCCATGGCTGCCCATGGACCAATCAGCACATACTTCCTCCCCTCTGAGGCATGTAAAAACCCCAGACTCAGCCAGACTTGCACAGATGACCTGTCTGCAGAGAGGAGCTACCCACTGTGGGTCTTCTCTCTGCTGAGAGCTGGACACTTGTTGGGATGACCTGCCTGCAGACAGCTACCCACTGCGGGTCTCCTCTGAGCTGTTCTATCACTCAATAAAGCACTTCTTCACCTTGCTACCCTCCACTTGTCTGCATACCTCATTCTTTCTGGATGCAGGACAAGAACTTGGGACCTGCTGAGTGGCAGGGCTGAAAGAACTGTAACACAGACAGGACTGAAACATGTCCTTTGCTTGCCACATTGCGGAAGATGAGAGGGAGAGAAGAGAGAAGGAGAGAAGAGTTTCAGCCCTTTGGGGATCCCAGACCTACGAGCTCCTTGAGCCAGGGCTGTGACACCCTTTTTGGAGTTCTGCAGTTCTTGGAGTCTCCAAGCTTCCAGGCACCACCATGTTCCCCAGTGCCAGCCATAGAAACTGCTTGCAGTACGCCTGGTCCAGCTGTAGCCTCGCAGGGAACCGGCACCCATGCCAGTGCCTGGAGCTGCCTGCCCTGCCGCAGCTGGAGTGCCTGGCTGTGTGCAGCAGCCAGACCTCACGTTCACTCACTCACATACCCCTTATCACTCTGCACCTGAATTGCCCTTGGCAGGCGTGGGATCCAGGCTTTTCGTGCAAGGTGAGCAAAGCCTGCCAGGCCAAGTGGGCAGAACGAGCCCAGTGGGCCCAAGCAAAACTCAGGCAAAGGTGCCACAGAGGTTTCCAGCCAGAAAAGTGACACCCCAAGGATCCTGTGACAATAGTGTATTTTATGTGTGGCCCCAGACAATTATTCTTCCAGTGTAGCCCAGGGAGACCAAAAGATTGGTCACCCTGACATAGAGCTTAAGTGTAAGTTTCATGAATTCTGACAAATGCATATACCTGTGTAACCCACATTTCTATCAAAATATATAATGCTTATCGATGGGTGGGATAATCCTTACCTGTTCCTCGTTTTGGAGGGCAGATAGAACATGATGATTGGAGATGCATGAAATGTGATTAATGCCTCTGCCTAATCAGGACTTGCAACACCCTGAGTACTCCTCTCTGATTCTTCAGGACAATCACTACTTTGAAAGAAAAAAATGAACATATATATAAATATTTCTATTACCCTAGAAAGTTTCTCTGTGCTCTCTTCCAGTCCAATCCTCACCCTCCCACTGCTCTGCCAGAGGCAACCACTGCTCTGATTTCTATCACCATAGATCAGTCTTGCTTGTTCTAGAATTTCATGCAGGTGGAATTGTAAAGCATGGCCTTTTCTGTGTCTGGCTTCTTCCACTCAGCATGATGTGTTTGAGATTTACCCATGTTGTCACAGTTGATGTGCTCTTCCTTTTTATTGCTTAGTGATATTCCATTGTATGAACATAGCACAGTTTGTTTATTCATTCTCTGGTGGGCCAACGTTTGGGTTGTCTCTAGTATTTAGCTATTATAAATAATGCTCCAATGAACACTTTCGTACAAGACTTTTTGTGGACATATTTTTTTGGCTAAATATCTAAGAATGGTTTGCTGGATTATATGGCAAGTGTACATTTAACTTTTTTTAGAAGCTGCCATACTGTTTCCTAAAGTGATTGTACCATTTAACACTCGCCCCAGCAGTGTATGAGGTTCTAGTTTCTCCATATCTTGCCAACATATGGTGCTATAAGTTTTTTAAATCTTAATCATTCTAGTGGTCTGTAGTGGCATCTCATTGCAATAATGATTTTCATTTCCTTGATGACTTAGGATGTCAAACTCTTTTTCATGTGGTACATTTGACATAGAGACTTTAAGTTTTATGTAGTTGAATTCATTAACCTTTTCTGTTATGAATTTTATTGACTTTATACTGAGAAATCCTTCTTTTTTTGGTAGAGATGGGGTCTTTCTATGTTGCCCAGGCTGGTCTCAAGAGATCCTTCTACCTCGGCCTCCCAAAGTGCTGGGATTACGGGCAGAGAAATCCTTCTTAATACCCAAAGCTAGTAAATATTTTTACTTTTATTTGCTTCTAGCCCTTTATTGGTTAAACTCTTAAACATTACACTCTTTAATCTACCTGTATTTTGTTTTAAATTGTAAGAAAACTATTTGTCCTCAGGAACTTAACCAACTAGACTGTATATTGAATAATAACTTCTTCCTTTCTTCACCTATTTGATCTACCACATTTATCTTAAACCAACTTTTAACCTATCATTGGGTCTATTTCTATGATCCTGTTAGTGTTGATTTTTCCACCAATAGTACAGTTTCAATTATTAGGATTTTAGAGTTTATCAGGTAAGCAAGTCTACCTTCATTACTCTTTATTTCTTCAAAAATTTCTTTGCAATTTCAGCTCATTTACTTGTCTCCTCTAACTGTGGAGGGCTAAATAATGACCCCTCAAAGATGTCCAGGTCCTCATCTCTGGAACCTGTGAATATGTTACTTTACATGGCAAAAGGGACTTTGCAGATGTGATTAAGATTCTTAAGAATTCTGAGATGGGAAGATTATCTTAAATTATCTGGGAGGGGCCCTATGTAATCACAAGGGTTCTTGTAAGAGGGAGGCAGGGGTGTTAGAGAGAGGAAACCATAGAAACAGGGATTGGAGTCCTGAGGCCACAAGCCAAGGAGGACAAGCACCTTCTAAAAGCCAGAACAACAGGGAGCAGATTACCCATTGGAGCCTCCAGAAGGCACCAGTCCTGCCAACGCTTTGCTTTTAGCTCCTTAAGACTCATCTTGAACTTCTCATCCCCCACAACTATAGGAAAATAAATTTGTGTTGTTTTAAGCCACTAAATTTGCAGTAATTTTTTATAGCAGCAGTAGGAAGTTAATATACTACCTTAAAAATTATTTTTAAAAATGATGTTCTAAGTGTTTTTCCATTATCATGTTGACTAGAACTGTATTGAGCAGAAAATTTAATTTGCGAAGAATTCACATTTTTATACTATTCAGTCTTGCTACTGAGATTTCTCCAGAAAAGCATCTCCATGTCCCTCTACTTCTGCTCATCGCCTGCTATCGCTGTTGGGTTTCTCGGAGTAGTCTTCAGGTAAAGGTTTGAGTGCAAGTAGTCTATTTAGAAGGTGATTCCAGGAAACACATGTAGGAGAGTGAGAAAGTAAAGCAGGGAAGGGAGGCTGCCAATAAAGGGAGTGTTATCAGCAAGTGACCATCGTGGGTGACTGGCATTTCCTCTCACTGGGGAACTCTGGGAACCCACATAGATCATGCAGCTCAGGGCTATCCAAGTTTTCCATAGGGCACAAAGGCTTCACCTGAGTATTGGGAATGGAGGAGCATCCGGGTGCAGACCACACCATCATTCCTAGTGAGATCATCACAGCAGCCTGTCTCTGCAATCACTGGCTCTGTGGGCAACTTACTTCCCTGCCCCGAGTCCCAGCATCCTGGCATTTCTTGCCTCCTCTAAAGGAAGTGACATTACAAAAAGGAAGAAAACTCTAACTTTGCACAGGATGTTGCAGCCAGAACAGCTTCCCAGAGGAGGTGAGCTGCTGCTAAGTGGCTGAACAGGTGTAGCAGCTGATCTTTCATCCCCAGCATCATCATGGATACCTGATTTCCAAGTACAGCATCTGCATCTCTCTGCCCAAGGACTTATCCTGCCTGCCAGAGTCTATGGCAGGTCACAAGCATTGGATAATTTGTCCTCCCTGCAGTCTCCTGCCAATGACTGGCTGAGGTTGGTGTGCACATACCCCAGCTCCTTGCTCCTGGAAGGTGGGAGGTGGAGCACTCAGAGGCATGAGTTTGGCACCAGCTCCTAGAGTTCCCCAGTGGGTTAAAGCTTTACAGTCTACCTTTTGCTGGCTGACTCACTTCCCTGCTCCACATCCCACTCTCCAATAGGAGTTTTCTGGGGTCATCTCCCAAATAAATGCTTACACCTGAATCCTTGTCTCATAGTCAGCATTTGGGGTAACCCAAACCAAGATAGTAGGCAATGGACCAAAATGGCCAGGGGTGAGGTGGAGGCACACCAGATCTGGGGATCAAAGGCAGGCACCACTGGGCTGAGAGAGGGAGATTTTGAGTCTGTGGTGTGAGCTGAGGGGGTTTTGGCCCCTTCCTTTGTACTTTGATTTTATGGCTCCTCTAGCCATTCCTTCTGTTTGGCTGGCTGGTCACCATGGCTATTTGGGGTCTGACCCTGAGACTGGGGTCCTAGTAGTGGTTCTGGCCCCTGGGCCAGCCCCTTTGAACACCCAGGAGGAGTGAGAATGTCTAGAAAGTGGTTTGTTTGGTTTTACTGAGGCAGCAGGATCTGCAGGCCACCTGGACTTCATTTTGGTAGAAGACCTGAGAACAAATACTTCTCCATTTGGGAGAATTTAATGCGTTTCTGAGAGGGGAGAAACATCAGCAGAGATTGAGCTAGTGCTCCAAGGAGGACATTCGGCTTGTACCCTCCCTGGTAACCATGGGGATGGAGGGACTGGGAGCCGGGCAGGATCCATATCCCATAAAAATGTTGCAAGATGAAGGGCCTGCAGATACCCTCCGACAGCATGTAATTGATGGGGTAATCAGAACTCCTCCTGGAGGGCTGTGAGGGAAGAGGAGCTGTGATTCAGAGCCTTGGGGGCTTGGATGTTTAATGAGGCACTGGGAGCCCATAAAGATTTAGATGAGAATGATTTGTCCATTTAGGATGCCAAATCTACCTTAGCACCGCCCCTGGAAGGTGCCGCTGCTTCTCTGACTTCTCTTGGAACTCTGGGTGCTGAAATCAACTGACCTAACATTTGAGGGGCACCATGTAAGGGCGCAGCCAACGCATCTGGAGGCTGAAAACTGCCAGCTGGCTGCCACGAGGGAACTGAAGCTGAGAGAGAGTAAGAATCTCAAGCCAGAAAGGCCCTTATAGAGGGGTAGCTGAAGTCCAGGGAGGTCAAGTAACTTGTTCAAAGTCACACAGTGCACCAGGGACCATTAGCACCAGTGATAAGTTTAGTTGGAAGAAAAAAGGAACTGCTAAAGTCTAGGCAGGGACAAGAGTGGGCATGTTTCCTTCTTAGAATGCAGAGGGTAATCTACAGGGCACTAAAGACAAAAATAATAGCTTTTGGTGTTTTAAAATTTGAACATTTAAACTGCTTCCCTAAATGCAAAATACATATTATGACACTTTGAGAATCTTTAATGCTTTACTCAGCAATTAAGAAGGAGCCTATTAATATTTTTAATATTTGGCAACTGACTCATGAAATGGATTAAAGATGGCATCCAAGACCAAGCACGGTGGCTCATGCCTGTAATTCCAGCACTTTGGGAGGCTGAGGCGGGCAGATCACTTGATCCCAGTTCAAGACCAGCCTGGGCAACATGGCAAAACCCAGTCTCTACAAAAAAAAATGCAAAAATTAACCAGGTGTAGTGGTGTGCACCAGTAGTTCCAACTGTTTGGCAGGCTGAGGTGGGACAATCATTCGAGCCTTGGGAGGTTGAGGCTGCAGTGAGCAGTGATCACATCATTACACTCCAGCCTCGGTGACAGACTGAGACCCTCTCTCAAAAAAACAAACAAACAAACAAACAAAAAAACAGGGATCCACATGTCTAAAACATTTCCAGTGTCTGGAAACACAAGGGCCTGAAATAAGATAGTGGTAGTTTGCTGCACTAAGGGATGAATGAGGCTGGCCCTCTCAGAGGGTCCTACCTGGCCTTGGGCAGGGAATCTTAATTTTTTTTTTTTTTACTTTTTTGATTCTAAAAGCAATGTATGTTACTGTAGGAAATTGGGAAAAAGAGACAATATGTAAAACAATAAAAAAATTACTCATTAACTTCCTCCAACCTCCCCCAAATAACTATTCTTAACACTTTTTTGTATATACGTATTTTTAAAAATTGGTGTCAGCCTTATTTTGCCTTGACTCTAAGTCACCAGTTAATAGCCTCCAAAGAGATAAATTTTGGTAGTTGATTTATATTCCATTGAAAGGTTTTGGCATAATTTATTAGACTGTTTCTAGGTCATTTCCAATTTTTCAATATTATAAATAACATGATGTTAAACGTTCTGGTGCATAAATCTTGGGTGGCACCTCTGATGGTGCACTCGTGTTCCGTTCCCAGCAGTGGTGGGGTCAGAGGCTCTGCACCCTTTCTGCCCTTCTAGTACCAGGAGCCCAGGGGCTGTAACTCTAGCAGCACCCAGACCAGCTCTGCTCTTCGCCCCACAGCCTCAGCATCCTGGAGTATGACCTTACAGGGTGGGGGAGAAAGCCTGAATCTGCCTTTCTGTGCCACGGTTTCCCCTTCTATAAAAGGAGGAGCATAAACGAGTTCATTGGATTTCAATTTTATTTCTTATTTTTATTTATTTTTTGAGATAGACTTTTGCTCTTGTCACCCAGGCTGGAGTGTAATGGCACAATCTTGGCTCACTGCAAACTCTGCCTCCCAAGTTCAAGCGATTCTCCTGCCTCAGCCTCCCCAGTAGCTGGGATTACAGGTGCGCACCACCATGCCTGGCTAAGTTTTGTATTTTTTCAGAGAGTCAGGGTTTCCCCATGTTGGCTGGACTAGTCTCAAACTCCTGACCTCAGGTGACCCGCCTGCCTTGGCCTCCCAAAATGCTGGGATTACAGGAGTGAGCCACTGCGCCCGACCTCAGTTTTATTTTTTTAAAACTCTTTTACTTCAAAGGAAAATCTTCCATATAATAGAAGCTCATTATATAAAACAGAAGTGAGAGGGAGGTCCTTTGACTGGGGCTAGAACTCTGCCCAGTAGTTCTTTTTTATCCTGCCAAAATTATCAAAGGTCCTCTGTGTGCCTGGCTCTGCGCTAGGTGCTGAGAATAGAATATGAGCCAAAATATTTGGCACTTCCCTAAGCCCAGGCCTCTTAGACCCTTTGCTTCTGGGGTGTTGGAGTGTTTCAGGGCATTGCTGACTGACTACACTAAGATGGACGCCATTTGGCACTGACTTTGTTTTTAACGATAATCATTTTGTATATACTCTATAGGGTGGCCCTGTGTTAATTGAATTGCCCCATGCTTTGTTCCCTTCTAGGGATAGCCCTGTCTGATTCCACCGTGTGGCCTCTGAGCCCTGAGGTAGCTCCTAGAAGTTCAAAGACCTTGCAGGCCCTGTCTGAAACCTGTAGCCTCTGTCCATTCCAGTGACCCTGCAGCTCTGATACCACTGTTTGTACAACTCATGCTGTGATTACGGCTATCAGCTGCTGTGGTCTGCTGACCTCTGCTTACAGGCTGGCACCATGCTCAGAGCTCTGTGTGCATTATCCCACTCAGTCCTTATGGCTATTCGAGGCTCCTCTCAATATCCCCATTTTACAGGTGAGGAAAATGGGGCTAAGGGTGCTGAGCATCTTACTTCAAATTCAGTCCTCCTGAGCCTGTGCTCCTGCTCACTAGACAACTGCATACAGCAGGGAGGTCTACTTAAAGCCTCCATGCACTCACTGGCAAGCCTCAAGATTCCTACCAGGCACAGGATGTGGAGGCCTCTTCAGTCCTTGGCATAGACCCTCCAGTGTGCCCAGCCCTCTGCCGACACATCACAGCATCTGCCTGCATCATGAAGGGGCTGTAAATGGAGCTTGGTTTGAGGGCAGGGCTGGCTCCTTCTGGGGGCGGCCATGATTCTGACCTACTGGGTCTGGCTGATGGTGTGGGTTGGGGCCCACACCATCACGTTTCTCTGTCTGGAATTCAGCAGGCCTTTGGCTGAGCTGGGTGTGAGAGCAATAGCTGCACGAGGATTGTGGCCACTGTCCCTGTGAGCCCAGGAAATGGGAGCATTGAGTTATTTTGTCTGTTGTCACCAAAATTTCAACAACTGCCAGGGAGAACAGGTACCTATTAAGTCTCTAACATTTCCACTTTCCAAACTGGGGCAGAGGATGGGGAATAAAGAGAGAGAATGCTTGAGTTTCTGTCCCGGTTCTGCTAGTGACTGCTGTGTGACTGTTAAGTCAAGGTTTGGTTCAATGTGTGTCTGGAAGCTGTAATATGTGAATCAGCCTCCCTTCACCTGGCACCTGGAGGTGGTTTGCTCATGGCTCAGAGAGTCCTGCATGTTAGTGAGGCAGTTATTGTGTCTGTAGCTCACTCTGACCACTAGTCTGTGACATCCCTGAGGGCATGGACCATGTCTGATTCATCTTATCTGTGCCCCCCAGGGCCAGCCTCGTGCTGCTCTGTGCATGTCTGACTGAGGGAATGAAGAGCCCTCTGGGGGAGGGTAGGGGGCTGGCCGGCCAGGGTCATCATCTGTCTGCCCTCCCTCAGGACAGACTGCGCTCCAAGTCTGGGAGGTTGGGGGCTGGCTGTCAGAGCACAGGCAGGTTTCCTGCAATGTCGTTATGATTTTCCCCAGTGTAAGTGAGCTTTGTCTGGGTGATGCTAGACAATGGCACACTGGGCTTCTGTTATCAGCTCGCAGATCTGTCTGCCTGGCCAGGCTGGGCTTCTGGAGGTCAGGGGCCCAGTCGGATTCCTCTGTGTCCACAGTGCCCAGTGCATGGTCTGGCACAGAGTTGGTGCCCAGTATGTGGGCAGAGGGGGTGCTTTATTGCTGGGCTTCGCTCTGACCCTCATTTCAACCTTCATTCAGACAATTCCTTAGTAATTGTCACTGATAGCTAAGCTGACAGGTGTGAGGCTTGTTATGGGGGTGGGGAGAGTCGACAGAGATAAAAATGGACTTAGTTCTGATCCTCAGGTGCTCCAAGAGTAGCTGGAAGAATCTAACAGGTCAACTTAGAGTTGTACTGGACAGCATGTGTCTTAGTCTGTTTGGGCTGCTATAATAAAAATTCCATAATGGGTAGCTTATAAACAATAGAAATTTATTTCTCACAGTGCTGGAGGCTGGGAAATCCAAGATCAAGGTGCTGGTAGATTCTGTGTCAGATATGGGCCTATTTCCTCGTTCATAGATGGCACCTTCTTGCTGTGTCCTTGCATGGTGGAAGGCATAAAGGAGCTCTCTGGGGCCTCTTTTATAAGGGCTCTAATCCCATTAATCCCATTCACAAGAACCCCGTCCTTATCACCTAATCACTTTTTTTTTTTTTTTTTTTTTTGAGACAGTCTCACTCTGTCACCCAGGCTGGAGTGCAATGGCACAATCTTGGCTCATAGCCACCTCCACCTCCTGGGTTCAAGCAATTCTCCTGCTTCAGCCTCCCAAGTAGCTGGGACTACAGATATGTGCCACCACACCCAGCTAATTTTTGTATTTTTAGTAGAGACAGGGTTTCTCCATGTTGGCCAGACTGGTTTCAAACTCCTGACCTCAGGTGATCCACCCGCTTCGGCCTTCCAAAGTGCTGGGATTACAGGCATGAGCCACCGTGCCCAGCCTTCTAATCACTTCTTAAAGTCCCCTTCTAGTAACATCACCTTAGGGGTTAGGATTACAACTTACCAAGGTGCGAGGTGGGGGGACACAAACAGCCACGGCAGCGTGCTCCAGGGGCAATGGAGGATGAAATGAACAAGGCTGTGGGGACACAGAATAAACAGAGGCATGAAGCAAGCTTCTGAAATGGCAGGCCTTGGAGCCAGACTGTGTGTGTTCAAATCTCAGCTGTGTCACATATTAGCTATGCAACCTTAACCAGTCATTTCATCTCTTAGTGCCTCTGTTTCCTCATTGGCAAAACAAGTACCACAAGCAAGGGTCTTAGAACAGTGCTTGGCAGATAGTGAGTAGTCAATAAACGTCAGCTAAAGTAAGAGAACAAATGGTTTTTACCTTTGAACAAGCCTCCTGCAAGATGCAGGAGAGGGATACCTGGGCACTTTGAGGCCTGTATGGCCCCAGTGCTCTTAAGAATTCCAGAGCTCTGGCCAGGTGCAGTGGCTCATGCTTGTAATACCAGCATTTTGGGAGGCTGAGGCGGGCAGATCACCTGAGGTCGGGAGTTCGAGACCAGCCTGACTAACATGGAGAAACCCCGTCTCTACTAAAAATACAAAATTAGCCGAGCTTGGTGGCACATGCCTGTAATCCCAGCTACTTGGGAGGCTGAGGCAGGAGAATTGCTTGGACCTGGGAGGCGGAGGTTGAGGTGAGCCGAGATTGCACCATTGCACTCCAGCCTGGGAAACGAGTGAAACTCCATCTAAAAAAAAAAAAAAAAAAAAAAATTCCAGAGCTCTGCCACCTATTTGAACACTGCTGATCTAGAGACAAACTGAGGCCCAGAGAGGGGCCAGTGCTTGTCTGAGGCCACACAGCTAGGGGCAAAGTCAAGACTGAACCCAGGAGCTCCTGCCTCCCAGCCTAAGGTACCTTTCTGTTTACCAGGCAACCTCCCTTGTAAAAGTCCCACATCTGCATGTCATTTGCATCGATCACACAAAGCCCCACATGAAATGTGGCTGGATGCTTTCCAAAATATGACCCAAAGCAAGTGTGTGAACTGACTTATATTGATCGCTGTACTAGCCAGAGATGGGCTTATCTGCTTGGAATTTTCAAAAGTGTTTCTTTTTTAAGTGAATGATTTGATTGGCTTTTGCCATTTAAAAATATATCCAGAGACATGTGATCAAATGCTTTCCTCTTCTTAGGCCAGATTTCATCCAAATAAAAGGGAACCTGGCTTGTCCTTTTTGAAAATCACCTGCTCTCCTTCTGCCCCCTTCTTATAAAAGCTACTCTTCTTTATTCTCTGCCAGGACCCAGAGGCCTCTGTGGGTGTCTCCCCACCTGACCCCTCAGGGTCCCGCCATCCTCATCTCTTTCCTGCATTATTGTGATAGTTTCTTCCCCGTGTCCTGGCATATAGTTTGGCTGCCTCCCATTCTTTCTCTACAGAGCTGTAGTGTATTAAAAAGAAATCTGTTCACACCATTTCCCTCCTCCACTTCTATGGCTTCCCACAATCTGCAGAGTAAAAGCTAAAGTCCTTAGTTTGTCATTTAAGATCATTTATGGCCAGGCGCAGTGGCTCACGCCTATAATCCCAGCACTTTGGGAGGCTGAGGTGGGCGGATCATGAGGCCAAGAGATCGAGACCATCCTTACGATCTAGCCTCAGTTTACCTATTCATTTACTTGCCTCTTTCTTTCTAGACACAAATTATTTATACCCTACAGATAAAGCAGGAGGAACCTAATTGTTCAGACCTTTTAGACCAAGAAGGTTGCAGTAGTTGAGGTCACAGGTTCCTGGCAGTCAGGGCTTATATTTGTTTCCTGTGGCTGCTGTAACCAATGAACTTAAACCTAATAGCTTAAGGCAACAGAAATTTATTCTCTTACAGTTTTGGAAGCCAGAAATCCAAACCGAGTCTGAATCACATTCCCTCAGGATGCTGCAGAGGAGAATCCATGTCCTTACCTCTTCCAGGTTCTGGCATTCCATTCCTTGGCCTGCAGCTGTAGTGCTCCAGTCTCTGTTGCCGTGGTCACATTGCCTTCTCCAGTGGTGGCAAAACTCCCTCTGCCTCCCTCTTATAAGGACACTTGTGATTACATTTAGGGCCCTCCTAGATAATTCAGGATAACCTCCCCATCTCAAGATCCCTATTTAATCACACCTTCCAAGACCCTTTCTGCCACATAAGGTAACATTCCCAGGTTCTAGGGATTAGGACCTGGAGATTTTGGGGGTCATTCTTCAGTGGACTACAGGGTCAAAGGGAAACATGATGTATTTCCAAAGCTTTCCCACTGAAGAGGCAGACGTCTTCCTGCGACCCCGAAGATGATTACTTACTTGCTATGCACAGCCTTCTATCCTTTTAGTTTGCATTTTGTGGGATGGGGAAGATAAGAACTATTCTCTTAAAGTGGGCTAGATTGGATTCTGGCTAACATTGAATATGTAACCAACAGGAGTATTGAGAAATTAATTGGCTTTTTGTTTTGTTGACTCTCATGGGCCCTCCAGGAGGAACAAAAGCATTTTCTTCCCAGCCTTCACTGTATCCTGCAGGTCTCCCTGCCCAGGGGGGAACCTGCCTATGTTTCTAAAGTTTGGGCTTTTAGTTTTGTTTTTGACCTTTCACTGGGGGAAGGAAACAGGCTTTCTGGAGTCTTAAGTCCAGAGTGAAGAATTTGCCAGGGAGAGGTGAACTGAGACCATCTCTAGTCGGGGGTTTGACCCTAGGTGATCACACTGGGTTGTGTGAGGTGGGGCCAAGAGGACCCGTGCTCTGGATTGAACATCATGTGTTCACCCTCAGGGTACAGTGCCTGTCCTGCTCCCCCATCCCCTGCCTCAGAAAGGTGGTGGCGTGGCAAGTTCCTAAGAGGGTGGAGGGGCCTGAGCCTCATAGCAATATGGTTCCTTGGGTCAGTAGGGGGCTGTATGGGAGCCTGGGAGCCCCAAGAGCCTCAGCAGGGACCCCCATGGCCTTGCATGGTGGAGAAGGAGGAGTAGGATGACCAGCACAATGAACTGCGTTTGGATGGCCCCCAGGGGTCTGAGCAAGAAGCGGGGCAGCCATGACCACAAGGGACAGTGGCCCTGAGAACTGGACTGTGTAAGCCTGGGGGCTTTCTGTAACATATAAGGGAGGTGGAGGGACTGCTTGTCGACCATGGACATGGGTGGGCAAACTGGTTTTATTATGGAAAGTGTGCAATGGTCCTTGCATCCCCGGAGCTGTGGAGTAAGCCTCAGGCCTGTTACTGATGAGTGGGGTGAACAGGATTAACACCCTTGGTTTGAAGTGGAGTGGGAATCTACCCCGGGGCATCAGACTAGACTCAGACACCATCAGATGCACCAGGAAGGAAGGATGCACCATAGGAAGGCTGGGAGGGAGGTTGGCAAGAGGTGGCAGGGGCCCTGAATGTCACACTAATGAGCTAATCCTGACAGCACTGGGGGAGCCAGTGATGATGAAAGCGGGAAAAGGCCTGGCCTGACATGGGCCAGGTGCACCTCCTGGAGTGTGGCCCTTGGGAGGACACTTCCACAGCAGGGTGTGGCCACTCAGGCTGCCTGGTCGTCCACACAATGGCTGCTGTCTACTGGGGGCTTTCTCTTCCAGACTCTATGCTAGATGCTTTACAAGTATTATTTTATTTCATTCTCACAATAATCCTATGAGGCAGATACCTGATCCATCCCCATTTAACAAATGAGGAAACTAAGCAGAGAGAAGTTAAGCTGCTTCTTAAAAGGCCCAAAGTCCCCCAGCTGGTGACAGCAGGACCATCAAGCTCCTAACTCATCTTTTCCATCAAGGCACCTGGGCCACTCGATAACACCAGAATGAAGGCTTTGAGTAATCACCTGTTCCCTACTCTCCCATTGTACAAATGGGAAAACTGAGGTGAGGGAGCTTGATCAAGGTCACTCGGTAAGCTAGACGTGGAACTGGAAGCTGGTCCAGATGTCCAGGTCAAGGCTCTCCTGACTCCTCTCAAGGGTGGCTGTGCCTGGGGATGCAGCAAACAGGTGGGATACCTGGACATGGTGCTGGCCAGAGTCCAACCCAGCACCTCCATCCTCACCCAGACCTCAGCCACCAGTACATTTGTGGGCAGAGCCCACAGGATCCTCCTGAAAACACCATTTCTTGGTCACAAGCTATTTTATGATTGAATTTTTCAAGATGTCTATTAGGAAATGTTTTATATATATATAGAACAATATTTGTAATGCATATATTCATTGCAAAACATGATAGTAAAATTAGCACCCATGAGCTCACCATCCACTTTTGGAACTAGAACTTTCCTGGTACTCTTGCATGTGTCTGGGTACCTCTTTCTTATTCTAGCCCTCACCTCCCCTACAAATGACCACAACCCAGGCTTTGGTGTTTATGATTTCCTGGCTGTTTTGTGATAGTTTTAGCACATATATTCATATTCCAAAGCCATATATTATTTACTTTTATTTGCATTTGAACTTTATAAAAAAATCATACTGTTTGATATTACAATAAAATATTCACAGTCTTCTGTAAATTACTTTTTTTCACCTAACGTTGTTTCTAAAATTCATCCATGTTGATGCCTGTAGCTTAGTTCATTCATTTTCCCTGCTGTGTAATATCTCACTGTGTAAAACACCACGTATTATCTATTCTTTTGCTATTAGGCATTTGGTTTGCTTCTAGTATTTTGCTATCATGAAACGCTACTATGAACATTCTTGGTCATGCCTCCCAGGGCGCATGGAAGAGATTCTCAAAGACATACCTAGGAGTGGGGTTGCTGGATCATATGACGTGTGCGTATCGAACCTTACAAGTTAAAGCCAGATCAGGAAGGGCTCCCACCTTCATTGTGTGGTTCCCTGGCTCTTCCACCTTGTGATCTCTCTCTAGCGCCCCCTGTTGGCAGAGGCTAAGAGATCGTCAGCAGGCCAAGCAGAATATTAGTGTCCCAGCTGTCATCATAAAAGGCAAATTTAGAGGGGATAGGGTTAGAGATGAGAGCCATAGCACCTAATTTAGAAATATGTGATCACCCCACCAGTGAGTAAAAAAAACTGGGCCAATGTGGCCTGAAGGTCGCCAGCTTAAAACCTCTGCAATGTGGCCTGATTTCTTACTGATCTCCACTTTGTACCCTCTGCTCTTGCCACAGGGAATGTCTCCTCCTTCCCTAAATGTGGTGCTCTTCCACGCCCATTTATCCTTTTCTCTCAATCTCAATTTTCTTTCCCACCTGGCACACTTTGCTCCCTGTTCAAGTCCTTCCTGTTGCTGAAACCCCATTTCAAATGCTGCTTCCTTCGTCATTTTTTTCTGATCTCTCCAGCTGGAGGTAATAAAGATATCCTTCTCTTGAGTTCCCCAGCTCCATATCTACCCTCTCTCTGGGCAACAAGCAGTGTTCACTTAGCATCACTGTTGTTTGGTCTATGGCTCATCTCCTCAATCAGAATTTTATTTTAAGAAAAGCAATGCAAGTAAGGGCATAGAGGAAATAATCACTCATATCACATCGCTGACACTGATACAACTTTTAATATATCCCTTTCCAGTTTCCCTGTGCACATACATTGGTATATGTAGTGCACATGTAATGTTGTATCTAATTTTTTAAAATATAAATGGGATCTCTCTGTGACACCCATGCTGGAGTGCAGTGGCAGGATTATGGCTCCCTGCAGCCCAATCGCCTGAGTTGAAGTGATCCTCCTGCCTCAGTCTCCTGATTAGCTGAGACTACAGGCATGCACTACCATGCCCAGCTTTTTTTTTTCCCCCCATTATTTTGTAGAGAGGAGTTCTTGCTATATTGCTTAGGCTGGTCTTGAACTCCTGGCCTCAAGCAATCCTCCTGCCTTGGCCTCCCTAAATGCTGGTATTACAAGTATGAGCTACTGTGCCCAGCCTCCCAGCCTGTTTTTCTTTTTCTCCCTTTATTAGGTCAAACTATTTTTTTCCTATGTTGCTTCATAACATCACAATTGTTAATGGTTATCCACTCTTCCATTGTATGTTAGTAATAGTTATAAGTGACAGAAACTCAACCTAAAAGAGCTTAGGCAAAAGGGATCTTTGTGCAGAGGCTGCTGGGGCATCTTGCAGAAACCAAGGTTAGAAATGTTGGGCTGCGGGGACCTGGAACCTGGGTGCAGATGCCTGAGGCACTGGTGCTTGCCTTGGCTTCATATTTTCCCCTCTTCTTCAGCAGACTGGCTTCCTCTGCTTTTCCTCTCCATGTGGCAGAAAATACCCACTGACCATACCCAAGCTTTACATGTGACAACACAGCCACCCAAACAGAGACTAACCCTATTTTTCAGGAGCTGGCTCCTCCTGTGGAGCAAGGGGGCAGGGTCAGATTCCACTAATGTGGTGATCTTTAAAGGACCAGGTAGCCTGTGTAGGAAGGGGATCCTGGGTTTTAGACTGCTTCCAAATAACTGCTACTGTAGTCATCTCGTGTATTAGCACATAAACCTCTCCTTAACTTGAATTATTTTCTTTGGACCAATTCTTGGAAGGGGGATGACTGGGTCATAAAGTTGGAACATTTTTGTGATGTTTGATATTATTGCCAAATTGATTTCAAGTAGTTATTCAACTTCACTCCCACCCGACAGCATTGTGCAAGAGAGCCTTTCGTTGTGCCATTGAGAGCACGGGGCATTATGGCTTGAAATAGATTTTTTTTATTATTTTAATAATCGTAAAAAGATATCTCGTAATTTTTATTAGCATTTTTCTGGTTACTAGTAAGGCTGAAGACTTTCTCATATATTTGTTTTATTGGAGTACGTTCCCTTTTGTGAATTGTCTTTTCCTGGCTTTGCCCAGTTATCGAGTGAACTGTTAATCCTGTTCAGATTTAATTGCCCCTTCCTTTTGTGTGTGCATTGCACTTTCTCTATCTTCCTTTCAGGGTATGAATAGTGGCCTATCTTGTATTGTAGTTATTTGTGTCTGTGTCTGATCTTTCTTACTGGACTGTGAGCTCCTGGTGGGCAGAGCCAGGCCTGGGCTCCAGCCTAGCATGGAGCCTTGTTCTAGTAAAGTGCTCAGTGATGGTTAATTGGGTAAAATAAGCATATGGTTTCAGTCTGCATGATGCCGAAGTGAGTGTTCAGCCTGAGGGGTGCTGCATATAGGCTGCGAGGATGTAAGAGCCTGGACCTCATTCATTCAGTCATTCAGCAAATAGTAACTGAAGATCTATTGTGTGCTGGGGTCTAGGAGGGCATCGATGAACAAGCCTCCCTGGAGCTTACAGGACAGTGGAGGTGGGAGAATTCAACAACTATTGCACAGCTACAGACAAATCCTACTTATCCCAAAGAGTTCCGGAGAGGTCTATGAATTCTGATGGAGAGGAGAACAAATCTAACATTGTCTAGGGAAGTCATTGGCAAACCTTTTCTGTAAAAGGCTAAATAGTAAGTATTTTAGGCCTTGTGGGCCACATACAGACTATGTCACATAGCCTTCCTTGTGGCTTTCTTTCCTTTTTTTAAAAAAAAATAGTTCTTTAAAAATATCTTTAAACTTCCTAGCTAAGGAGCTATGCAAAAACAGCTGAGGGCCTGATTGGATCTGTAGGCTGTAGTTTGCCAACCCTTGTCTAGCCCCTAGAGTCATAGAACATCAGGGCTGGAAGGGTCAACTCCCTCATTATTGCACAGGTGGGGAAACTGAGTCCCAGAGGGCGGAAGCAGTGTGTTGGGTCCCCTTGCTGATACCCGTGCTGAATCAGGCAGTTGAGGACTTTGCCTGGGTCCTGGCACAGTCCACTCTGTTTGTCTCTTGGAGCAACCTACTCTGGCAGGTTTGTGCCTTGGCTGGCACAGGAGGTTAGGAAGTGGTCGGTTCCCAGAGCACAAGGCTGCCTCCCCAAGGGCTGGTTCCTATCCCTTCCAGCATGGCAATTCTTTGGCCCCATGGCCTCCTGTTGAATTGGGGTTGGGGGTGACAGAAAACATGGAGCAGCAGCATTATTAATTAATGCTTCTGTGTCCCAAGGCTGAGAATTTTGTCATGTGTAGAAGCATTTCCCGTATTAAAGTTGATTTTTACAGTAAAGGTGATATTCTTTTTCAACTGAATCATGTATGGGAGAGTAAATACTAAAAATAATTGCTTCCTCTCTCCCAGGCTCTCTCTCCTGACCAAACACACACTCAGCAACAGACAGGACCCAAAGCTGCTTGTTCCATCTCTGGAGGCTTCCATGGGTGCAGGGACTGAAGGGACAATGTCAGCTCCCCATCCCTCCCCTCACTGTGCAAAGGGAAGCAGGTCAGAGAGCACCTCCTACTTAGCTTCAGCCGGGGGTCCCTCCAGGGCTGCCATCTCTGCTCTTAGCAGGCTGTTCTCCACAAAGAACAGCCACTGCCACTCCCCACCCCAAAACTGTGTCCTTAACATCTCTCACCACGGGAATGTCTTGAAACCCCAGCCAGGATGGGAAAACTTGCAAGCAAGGAGGCAGGATTTGATTGATAACCAGATCTTTAGCTAGAGGTCTGCCAGCAGTGTGACCTTGGCAAGTCTCTGCTCCTCTCTGGGTCTCAGTCTCCCCTTTGACACTAAGGGAGGACAGATCTTACTGTTCCTTAGAATGTTAGTTTCTGGCAGCCTGTGATGTGGTTGGCGTGGGGTCACGTTCAGGCCTGAGGACCTTCAGAGCGCTCAGGCTGCCCTCACTCGGCTCTGCCCTCCTCCTGCCTCTATGGTCCCTTTGGTCTTTGCTTCTGACCCCCCCCACCCCCCGCCCACTCATGCTAAACTGCTGATCCCAGCACCCTCCCCTCCAGGCCTGGGGGCTGGCATCCCCTCCGGGAATGCCTCTTTCCTCTCGTAACAGGGCTGGCCCTGCCAGCACCTCACCACATTTCCTCTGTGCTTCCTGCAGCGGGCAGCAATGGTGGTGAGAATGTATATGTGCAGGTGAGTGAGCGGGTATGCCTGTGAACGTGTGCCTGCGTGTGAATGTAAACCACTGCATGTGTGTGAGAATGTGTGTGGTGCGTAAATGAGTGAATGGATGAATGGGTGTGCAGGTTATATTGAGGACAAAGCTTTTTGTTTAGTTTGGCTCTGTTTCAAGCAAATCAAGACCTTTGTTTATTTCCACATACCTGTACACACATGGGTATGTGCATACACGCACACACAGAGCTTCAAGGAGCCAGCTTTAAGAAAATGCCTGCCTAAAACACCCCCACTTCATTTCTGTGGTCAACCCCATTCTTAAACCCCTTTCTTTGGGCAGTGCTTCTCAAGCTTTGCTGTGCAGAGGAATCATCTGGGGATCTTGCTAAACTGCAGACTCTGTTTCAGCAGGCCTAGGGTGAGACTTGGGATTAATTTTTTTTGTCGTTATTTTGAGACATGGCCTCACTCTGTCATCTAGACTGAAGTGTAATGGCATGATCACGGCTCACTGTAGCCTCAAACTGCTGGGCTTAAATGATCCTCTCACCTCAGCCTCCTGAGCAGGCTGGGACTATGGGCACACACCACCATGCTCAGCTAATTTTTAACTTTTATTTTTAGTAGAGGCAAGAGCTTGCTATGTTGCCCAGGCTGGTCTCGAACTCCTGAGCTCAAGTGATCCTCGCACCTTGGCCTCCCAAAATGCTGGGGTTACAGGTGTGAGCCACCATGCCTGGCCGAGAGACTCAGGGTTTCTAACAAGCCACCAGCTGCTGCTGCTGCTTTTGCTGGTCTCCATACCAACTCCGAGTGGACTGAACTTTGGGCACAAGGCTCTAGATCACTGATTGGTTGGCAAACTGTGGCCCACGGGGCAAATGTGACCCAATGTCTGTTTTCGTAAACAGAGTTTTATTGGAACCAGGATTGGCTACAGAATTTGTGGAACCCAGTGCAATATGAAAACGTGAGACCCTTTGTTCAAAAATTATGAAGACTGTCAAGACAGCAACGGCAGAGAACTAAGCTAGGCACAGGGGTCCTTTTAAGTGTGGGCCCTTTGCTTGCACAGGCTGAACGCCCATGAGGCTGGCTCTGCCTGGAACACAGCCATGCCCATTTGTTCATGTACTGTCTGTGGCTACCTTTGCCGTATGATGGCAGAGTTGAGCAGTCAGGACAGAGGCCCTATCGCCCATGAAGCCAAAAGTTGTCATTCTCTGGTCCTTTACAGAAAAAGTTTGCAGCCCCTGTTCCAGATCACTGGCTCTCTCAAACTTGGCTGTGGGTTGGAATCACCTGGTGAGATTTTACAACGCTGCTGCCTGGGGGCCTTCCTCAGAGATTCTGTAGCTGGTCTGCGGTGAGGCCTATGAGGGTGTGGAAGCAAAAGCTGAAGCTACTCAGGCTCCAGGCTGACCACACATGCCCAAACTTCAGTCAACACTGAAGGTCCTAGTTAGAAGCCAGTAGCTTCCCAGAAGCTCTGATAACAAATCATCTGTGAACCCTTGCTAGAACTACAGTCCTGAGGAATTTGGGTTCTTTTTGTATCTTCTTGGAGCAAACGTGGAGTCCCTGAGAGCCAGACTGAATTCACTGATGCCAGGTCCTTGCGGGGACCAACCATCCTGTTGTGGAACTTAGGGATTTCCCGCAATGCAGGGCTTTCCCTGCTCCAACTGGGACAGTCCTCAGGAAACTGGGCTGGGCTGGGGCGGGGGTGGTGGTGGTGGTAGTGGATGGGCCCAGTACCACTGGGTGTCTCTGATTTGTCCAGAAGAGAAAGTGTAGGCGAATTCTGCAGATGTCCACCTCCAAGTCCTGTTAGGTTGATCTTGTTCATAGTGCAACCAGTCAAGGGCCGTGAACACCCAGGGGATCCACAAAGCTACATTCTCCTGGCCAGTTACAGACAAAAATCCCCAAATGCCTATCTTAGAGTGATAAGTTATTCTTGACATTAACCCAATTACAGTCTAGGTTTTGAAACGCAGAGGGAACAGACTCCTAAGATGACCAACTTAACCAAACAATTGATTTCCAACTTGACCACGCATTTAGGACAGTAGCCAATGAGCAGAAGCAATGATGCAGCACCCTAGTCAATCTTTTCCTTCCTTCCCTGTGTTCTTTTATTTGATCCCCTTCCTCCTTCCCTTCTTCAACACCTGTCAATCTCCATATCGTGAAGAGCATTGAATGGGATGATTTGAAGTTTCTACTCGATTCTGTGGCTCTCAAGGAGTCACTGGAGGTTTTGGATGGGTGAGTGAAGGGCTCAGGGCTTTGGGTACTCACTGTCCAGTGGTTTGGGCCAAGGCTCTGAGGAGAACACTAGTGGCCTCCATGAGGCCTGGTCTAAGAAGCAGTAACCGCGGTGACAGTAACAGGAGCCGACACTCAGATGGCCATGTGCTTCAGGTGCATTCACTCACAGCCCTCATCAATAAGTGCTATTATTATTCCCATTTCAGTGATGCAGAAACTGAGACATGGAGCAGTTAGGAGACTTGTACAAGGTTGCAGAGCTACTAAGTCAAGATGAGATTTGCACCAGGCAGTCCAGCTCCAGGGTCCATACCCTTAGCCTTATGTTTTCTAGCCTCTCAGAGTGCAGGGGGTGCACAGTGAGGCATTTGGGAGGCCCAAACAGGGCTTGTGACTGCTGGGATGTGGGGGTCATCATGGCTTGGGCTATGGAAGATGGCAGGGCCATTTGATTTGGCCTCCCAAGTTTCAGAGCCTGCCTTTAACCTTTTTCTAGAGCAGTGGACCTCCACTCCTTTCAGGGACAGAGTGTCTGGACATCATTGTACCTTTGTAGTCCACCAGGAAATCTCAGCACATCTAAGTTCATCTTGCAAATGAGAGTGAGAAACAGTTTTACCTGTAGGAAACATGGCTCTCTTCTACATGTGCAAAATGTAGTAACAACCAGGTGTTCATTGCAGACTTGTTGAAGTTGCAGTTTTATTCTGTTTCTGTTTCCCATTAATATTTATTTTGCCATTTGCCATTTGTTCACTAAAAAAAAAAACCTCTGCTCAAAAGTAGGCAAGCAGTTGCAAGCACTAGTGTTTTAAGGAAAATATATAAATACAAAATTTAAATTCAGAAAATTCTCCCCATGAACTTAATGTTATTCTCATTATTTGGAAGTTGAGAAATGATGAACCATTGAGTGGGATGACCCTATCCAACTCCCAAAGTAATAGAGCTGACAGAACCATGCCATCTGTCTCTTTCCCTCTGATGCTGGAAACAAGTGTAACCTTGAACTCCCTGGTTCTCACACACTGTGGGTAGAAAGGAGGTTATATTAATAATAATAACTTAAAATCTGCTAGATCTTCAGCCATCTCAAAAATCTCTCCAGGTTGTGCTATGAAAGGGTCCCACATATGCTCACAGTCTTCTTGTGTTTGCCAGCTCTGGCTACCCGCTGATGTCTGTACTCTTTGGTCCCATGAAATAGGCGCCTCATCCCTGTGTCTGCTGCTAATGTCATCTGTGGCAAAGTTGAGTCCTTGTCTAAAGTTATATAAAGGAAAATAAAAAATCTCATGACAGGCTAGGTGCAGTGGCTCATGCCTGTAATCCCAACGCTTTGGGAGGCCGAGGCAGGCAGATCACAAGTTCAGGAGTTCGAGACCCACCTGGCCAATATGGTGAAACCCTGTATCTACTAGAAATACAAAAATTAGCCAGGTATGGTGGCGGGTGCCTGTAGTCCCAGCTACTCGGGAGGCTGAAGCAGGAGAATCATTTGAACCCAGGAGGCAGAGGTTGTAGTGAGCTGAGATCGTGCCATTGTACTCCAGCCTGGGTGACAGGGCAAGACTCAGTCTCAAAAAAAAAAAAAAAAAATCTCAGGACTCCTCAAACAACAACAACTTCTTCTTCTTCTTCTTCCTCTTCCTCTTCTTCTTCTTCTCCTTCTCCTCCTTCTCCTTCTCCTTCTTCTCCTTCTCCTCCTTCTCCTTCTCCTTCTCCTTCTCCTTCTTCTTCTTCTTCTTTTTTTTTTTTTTTTGATGTGGAGTCTCGCTCTGTTGCCCAGGCTAGAGTGCAGTGGCATGATCTTGGCTCACTACAACCTCCACTTCCCGGGTCAAGCAATTCTCAAGCCTCAGCTTCCCAAGTAGCTGGTATTACAGGTGTGTGCCACTGTGCTTGGCTAATTTTTGTATTTTTAGTAGAGACGGGATTTCACCATGTTGTCCAGGCTGGTCTCAAACTTTTGACCTCAAGTGATCCACCAACCACAGCCTCCCAAAGTGCTGGGATTACAGGCATGAACCACTGTGCCTGGCCTGTCATGAGATTTTTCATTTTCCTTTATATAACTTAAGACAAGGACTCAACTTTGCCACAGGTGACATTAGCAGCAGACACAGGGATGAGACTTCTTATGTAAAAGGGAAGCTTAAGCCTGAAGGCTGAGTCCTTGCAGCCCTCTCTTCCAAATGAGTAACTATTACTAAACTTATGCATCCCTAGAGGAAGGTAAAAGGCCTCAGGCATCTGCAAAGGGCTGCCCCCACAGATCATTCATAAGTAAATTCTTTGCTGGCCTCTATAAACAAGGACATGCCAATTGTAACTCTGGGTCAACAATCTAAGTCTAGCTCCTAAAACTCCACACTGATAGTGTCTATTACAAGCTTATCTTCCCAGGTGCAGAACAAAGTCAAGAGTCATTTCCTCTACCTACCCAGAGACTGGATAATTGATTCTTCCTTTACTTCCTTTTTTTCTTTAGACATTCACCTTATCTTATGTAAAATGTAGATTTACTGGGCACTAACTGAAGTCTCACAAGAATGTAACTGTTTACCTTACTGCCTACCCTACATGCCTTTCCCCCTCTTCAAGGAAATGTATAAATCCTAAACCTCCTGAAAACCTCTTTGGAAAAACAGTCACAAATGTGTCTGTGGCTCATGTTTTCTCCTAGATGTACCCTAAAGCTGGCTTAATAACCCTCAGTGATTGAGACTTTTGTCTCAGTTACTCATTTTGGTTGTCAGTTACATATCTTAGTGTTCCCAAACATGATCCTGAAAGATGCTATGGCTTATAGTAGCAGACTTCTGATTTTTAACTGGGTGAATAGCCACCTGGGATAAAGAGGACATTCCCTAGCCTCCCTTGCAGCTAGGTGTGGTTGTGTGATTAAGTTGAAGCAAATGAGATATAAGTAGACATTGTGTATAATTGTTAAGGAAGTGCCTTTAAAAGCAGGAAGATGGCCGGGCGCAGTGGCTCATGCCTGTAATCCCAGCACTTTGGGAGGCTGAGGTGGGAGGATCATGAGGTCAAGAGATCAAGACCATCTTGGCCAACGTGGAGAAACCCAGCCTCTACTAAAAATACAAAAATTAGCCGGGCATGATGGTGCGCACCTGTAGTTCCAGCTACTTGGAAGGCTGAGGCAGGAGAATTGCTTGAACCCAGGAGGTGGAGATTTGCAGTGAGCCGAGATTGCGCCACTGCACTCCAACCTGGTGACAGAGCAAGACTCTGTCAAAAAAAACAAACAAACAAACAAAAAAAAACAACAGGCTTTTCCCTCACTTTCTGCTTGCTAGAGTGCAGCTGTAATGTCTGGAGATCTGGCAGCCATCTTGGACCATGAGTTGACTTTGGAAATGGAAGCCATGCGTGGTATAGTAATGAGATAGAAAAAACATGGGTCCTTGATCCTGTAGTATGTCATACCAGCCCAGTACTTCTAACTGCTAGACTTCTTGAAAGTAAGAGAAGGGTAAACATTTTATCTTGTTTAAGAGACTATTATTTGGGGTTTTTCTTGTAGGATATAATAAATTCCTTTTCAAAGGTTTTAGCCTGTAAATTGTTAAGTACAATGAGTTCTGAGATCCTCTCCAAAGAACCAATATATCAGTATGTTTAGCTGTTATAAATAAATTTTTGATGCTACAAAAGAAATAGCACTCGAGCATAAATTTAATTTTCTCAGCAAGGCAATTTTTACTTCTATAGAAGGGTGCAACTTGCAGATGGAGCAATCGCGAGAGCACACCTGAACAAGGGAGGGGAAGGGGTTTTTATTCCTGATGCAGCTAGCCCCTACTGCTGTATTGTTCCCCTATTGGCTAGGGTTGGATCACACAGTCTAAGCTAATTTCTGATTGGCTATTTTAAAGAGAGCAAGGGTATGAGTCAGAGTGGTGGGGTGAGTAGTTTGGCGGAAAGGACGGTTACGGAACAAGTGACTCAGGATGAGTCAGGATGGAGCAGGTGACCAGGGGTGACTCAGGTCAAAGCAGGTGACCAGGGGAACAGATGTGAACTACTGATTAGAACTGGTGGGAAAGTTGTTTACTGAAACTAGAGACAAAAGATTGAAGAGAACCAGGAAGTTAAACTTTAAAATGAAGAACAAAGAATAAGAGAGCTGACCATACTGACATACTGATTCTTTGAAGAGAAACTTGGAGTTCACTATATCTAACACAGCTCCCCTGTTCTTTTTCTTCATTTTAAAGTTTAACTTCCTCGTTCTCTTTGTCTCCTTGCCCCTAGTTTCAGTAAACTACCTCCTACTAGCCTGTATAACCTGCTCCGTCCTGATTCACCCCTGGTCACTTGCTCTGACCTGAGTCATCCTGAGTCATCTGTTCTGTAACCATCCCTCCTGCCAAACTACTCACCCTGCCACTCCGACTCGTATGCCTGCTCTCTTTAAAATAGCCAATCGGAATTAGCTTAAACTGTGCGGACCAACCCTAGCCAATAGTGGAACGACACAGCAGTAAGGGCTACCTGCATCAGGAATAAAAACCCCTTCTCCTCCCTTGTTCAGGTGTGCTCTTGCCATTGCTCCATCTATGAGTTGCACCCTTCTCTAGAAGTAAAATTGCCTTGGTGAGAAAATTAAATTTATGTTCGAGTGCTATTTCTTTTGCAGCACTGAAAATTTATTTCTAACATTCTTTTCCTCAAAGTTGAACCTTGCCTCAACAAATATTGATGCCAAAATGGAACTGCATTCTTCTCAGTCCTCCTGGCTTGAGCCTCACTGTCTAAGCTGAAGTGAGGACAATGTGCCCCTCCCCAGTTTGGTTGCCCATGGTTTTACCTGGGTTCCATAGCAAAGTTCCCGGCTTCCCAGTTCAGCCATTCTTTTTTCCTTCCTTTTCTCTCCTAGCAATGCATTATTCCAGGGCTTTTCATACTTTAATCATGCAGGAAGTGTGTTACAATGCAGATTCTGATTCAGTAAGTGTGGAGGCAAGGCTGGAGAGCCTGCATGTCTAACAAGTTTTCATCTGATGTTGCCGGTACTGAGTACTAAGGTATTATAAAACTCACCGTAAGCTTGCAGACATGGACCATGTGGGAATCTCTGTTTCCACAATGCTTGGCACACAGCAGATACTCAGTGTATGCCCAATGATTGACTGAATAATAGGCAATTAGCATGCCAGATGCCAAGAAGTCCTGCAGGAAAGAAACCTGCCACTCTGTTTACTATGCATATCTCAAGTTTATTTTAATTGGAACCCTATTTTCAGAAACACCTATTAACATTTTATAGAAATAGTGCTTTGAGAAAGCCACTTTGGGAGACCCTGGTCTAGGGTGGAGTCTTAGCTGACCCAATAATTAGAATGAGCTGATTTCTGTATGAGAATCTCAAACCCAGGGTTCTGTTTGGGTTGTCTGGTTCAGCAATTAGGAGAAATTGTTTTAGCTCATAACTTCCTGTACCCCTGAGGGCCTGCAGACTCCTTGAGGGGACATATTTAAATGCAATTAAATATAGGAGCTGTTGCATTTGCTAAGGTGCTCAGTTTTCCTCTTCCCCTGGCAGTGCCCAACAGACCTACGACCCCCTCAGGGCACGAGAGCCTGAGTTATTTGCCAATTAGCATGATCCTGTGGATTTGTTGAAATGCTTTTGTTCCCAGGCTGAGGCAAGGAGGAAGTCTGGGAAAAAACTGAAGGAGGACTTGGCTCTGGTTAGAAGCTGGTGAAAAACCGAGTTCCCCTCAGGGAACAGTGTTGACTCTGTCGAGCCCTGGAGCTTTTTTGCTGCAAAAGAAACCTCCTGGGCTCTGGAAACTCTGCCTTTGTCAGCTTCAAGGGAAGGGAGACAGCTGGGAATTGATGCTTTGTCGTGGTTCTGTAGGAGCGTTCTCAGAAATGCAGGCCCAGCTGTCTGTCCAGGAACCCCAAGAATGGCCCAAAGCCCCCAAGAAGGTGGCTTTACAGGATCAAGTCAGAGGGTCTACATAGGCTGCATCCCTTTAACTAGAACTTGGGCACCCAGCCCTTCATCCTCATTTTGGGTCCTCCTAACAACAGTTCTTGATCTAAAGGGAAAATCTTACTCAACATCCTACTCTGCATGTCAGAAGACATAGCCCCTATGAAATAAAGGTAGAAAGCCATAAAGAGAAGGGCAGGCATTCTTTAAAAAGCCACAGAATGAGATTTTTTTTTTAAAAAAAAGATTAAATGAAAAGGGAATTGATAAGAAAAGGAAACACTGTCAGAGAAACTAAAAATGTAATCACAGAATGAAAACCCACCGCTAATCCCTGGGTGAGATTAAAGAACAGAATTGGTACCGTAAAATATTAAATCAGTGCTGTAGAGGTCAAGGTCGAGAAATCTCATCAAAAATGCAGAGAAAAAGATACAGAAATTAAAAAGGCAGGAGGAAAGTTTATATATATGGAGACCAGGGAGCACAGAAGCACCAAGCAGACATTTGGTGATCCTGAGGGGTGAGACCAGAGAGAAGCCATCATCCAACAGATAAGGGACCACCATGCACACCCTGAGTGTGTAGCTCACTAGAGATTGATATATCCCAGGACAAAATGGCTGGAAATGGACCTCTAGCTAGACACCCTGCAAAAATGTTTGAAGAATCAGGATTTTTAAAAGCCTACAAGTATATACACAGAATAAAGAGGAAATCTACTGAGGAAGGAAAATCAGACTGGCTTCAAGCTCTTAGTGCCCTCAATTTGGATAAAGAACGTCTACAGAGTTTTCAGAAGAACAGAGAAAAAGATTGTGATTCAGTAATTTGATGTCCAGCCAAGGTACTTACAGTGTTTGAAGTCTTAGGAAAGATACCTTCAAATATGCAAGGGTTTAAGAAATATGCCACACTGAGCCCTTTTTAAATAAGGAACTCTGAGAAGTATTTAAAATTGTCAAGAGATGAAACACATTTAAGAATCAAGAATAGGGAAGCCATGAAATGAAATGACAGGGTGCAAATGCCTGCTAAACAGAGAAAAGTCTAAAGAATTTAAAAAGTGGCTCAAAATTTGAAAAGTTAGAAATATTCTCAAGAAGAAGCAAAGAGAACTTGGGAAGTATTGATGTACTCTTGATTAATAGTTAGAAAAAATTTGTGAGTTAAAGAATACTTTTGAAAAGTTAAAATAACTGGCCGGGTGTGGTGGCTCACGCCTGTAATCCCAGCACTTCGGGAGGCCAAGGCGGGTAGATCATGAGATCAGGAGATTGAGACCATCCTGGCTAACACGGTGAAACCCCATTTCTACTAAAAGTACAAAAAATTAGCCAGGCGCGGTGGCGGGCACCTGTAGTTCCAGCTACTCGGGAGGCTAAGGCAGGAGAATGGCGTGAACCCAGGAGGCGGAGCTTGCAGTGAGCCGAGATTGCGCCGCTGCACTCCAGCCTGGGCAACAGAGCGAGACTCCATCTCAAAAAAAAAGAAAAAGAAAAGTTAAAATAACTATTTGTAGAATTCTAGACAGATAATGTGCCATGTATAAATACACATAATATAAAATGAATTACAATAAATAGTATATAATTATATAACATATGCAATATGTATACACACATGCACACACAGAGGAAAAGATAAAATGCCAAGAATACGTGGTCACCATACCAAACAGCAAGCACTGGAAGAAGCAAGAAAGCATTAAAATAATTTTTGGGTAATAGATATAATACTAATAATCTATTTCAACAATGAGTGTAAATGGGCTATATTCCTTTATTTTATGACAAAAACTCTCAAATTGTATGCTTCCTATAAGAGAGGCTTTCAAAATAAAGTAAAACAGTAATGCAAAAAGCAAATAGGATCCAGCAATTCCTCTCCTAGGTGTGTACCCAAAGCTATTGAAAGCAGGGACTCAAACAAATACTCGTACATCAATGTTCATTGCTGCATTATTCACAGTAGACAAAAGGTGGAAGTGATCCAAGTGTTCATCAGCAGGTTGCTGAGTAAACAAAATGTGTTATATATGTACTAGAGAATATTATTCAGCCACGAAAAGGAATGAAGTTGTGATACATGCTAAAACACAGATGAACCTTGAAGACAGGCTAAGTGAAATGAAGTAAGTCAGACACAAAAGGACGGATACTGAGGTGCCTAGAATAGGCAAATTCACAGACAGAAAGTAATTAGAAATGACCAGAGGCTGGAGAGAGGGGAAATGAGGAGCTATTGCTTAATGGTTAGAGCTTCTGTTTGGGAGAATGAAGTTTTTGAAATAGTTGTAATAGTTGCAGAACACTGTGAATGTAATTAATGCCACTGAATTGTAGGCCTAAAAATGGTTAAAATGGTATATTTTCCCCCAATAAAAAATATATATGAAAGTAAATGACAGGCAAGGTTACATCAAGCACATACAAACATAAAGACAGCAGGAGCCCTAATATTAATTTCAGGCTAAGCAGGATTCAAAACCAAACAGATTCAATGCAACAAAGAGGTTTTATTATTTATTTATTTATTTATTTATTTATTTATTTATTTATTTTTAAGCGATGAGGTTCTCGCTATGTTGCTCGGGCTGGTCTCCAACTCCTAGCCTCAAGCAATCTTTCTGCCTTTATCTCCCAAAGTGCTGGGATTGCAGGCATGAGACACCATACCCTGGCCTTAAAGAGCTTTTATTTCAATAAAGGGTACAGTTATTTTGAATATATAACAATTATAAATCTTTATGCAATAAGTAACATAGCATCAAAATATATAAAACACATATACACATACATACACACCTCATTATCATTATCTAGGAAAAAAATAACAAGCTTGCCTAATTAAGTAAGAGACATTTTCCCTTTTCCATCTTCCCTCTCTTTGCCCCAGCAAGAGAGAGGAAGCACAGGGTAGAACTGAGGGGATTGTGAGGAGCAGACCCTCCCTACTAGTCCTCCATACCCACTGAAATCAGGAAATTTTCATCAATAGTTTATTACCATCTAATCCTCAGATTTTATTTGCATTTTGCCAAATGTCCCAATAATATTCCTTATGCCAAATGTCCCAATAATGTTCTTTACATCAAAAAGAATCAGTTCAGAATGATGTGTTGCCTTTAGTGATTAGCTTCTTGTCTCTACAGACTCCTTCACTTTGGAACACTTTCTTCATCTTTCTTTGACTCTCATGACATTGACACTTTTGAAGATTACAACCCATTTATTTTGTTTAATATCCTTTAATTTGGGCCTGTCTGACTTTCCTTAAAGTTAGATTCAAGTTATGTGTCTTAACTAGGAACAACACAGAAGTGATGCTTCTGTGACCTTCTCATTGCAATCTTGCAGGTGGCTCAGGATGCTGATTCATCCCATTGCTCATAATGTTCATGTTGATAACCTAAGTTGATAAACAAACCTTGTATCTGCCAGGGTTCTTCATTATAGTTTTACTCTTTTCCTCTATGTAATTAATAAGTACTTCGTGAAGAGATATTTTGAGAGTGTGTATCCCATGCTTCATTAAACTTTTATTCATTTATTTATGTCAGATAGTCTTATGATTTCCTGTTCTATTCAATAAGTTATCGTTTGTTACTATCACTATTTATCTTAGTGCCCAAATTGCCTCTGATTTGGTGTTTGGTAGCCCCTTTAAGCTGATTCATTTTGACATGTTTCTATCATTCTTTAAGCTACCTTGCTTTCTAGAATGATAGTATATTCCAGGATATCTTGCACTTTCTCTATCTAAACTCTGGAGTCAGCCATTTCTCCAGGGAACTCTTGTTCCTTTTAATGGAGAATGTTATTTAGAAGCCAAGACCTGAACACTAGGTGTGCTCATTGCTACTGGGGTATCACTACCCCAGGCCCTTTCAGTGGACATTAAGTTGATAAGCCTGCTGTTTGCCAGGATTCTCCATTGTAGTTTTATGCTCTTCCTCTGAAGATGTGTGTATACATATATCCCCATATATATATATATATATATATATATATATATATATATATATACATTTACATCTATATTTCTATATCTGTCTCCATATTTTGAAATCAGTGAGCTCACACCAACAGCCCCAATTCTAGTCCAATATCACTGGATTCATTCTAGTTCTCTTATTTTCTACATGTTATAACTCCCTTCCCTGAAAGTGAGAAATATCATTCACATTATCCCTAATACAGTCATCCCTCAGTATTTGTGGGGTATTGGTTCCAGGACCCCCCACGGATGTTCAAGTTCCTTATCTAATATGGTATAATATTTACGTAGAACCTATGCACATCTTCTCATATGCCTTCAGTCATCTCTAGCTTACTTATAATATTGAATACAATGCAAATGCTATGTAAATACCTGTTATACTGTATTGTCTTTTAATTTATTTTTTAATTATTGTAATTTTTTTTTCCCTGAATATTTTTGATCCAGTTGGTTGAACCCATGGATGCAGAACCCATGAATACAGAGGGCTGACTGCCTATTTACTTATTTGATCAATTCCCTTTATGTAATCAACCTCCAACTGCACCTTCTTCCCTGTGCAGATGCCCTCCTCACAACATCTGAGCACCAGTCTGCCTTTCCCACCTGGAAGCCTTCTTCATCCTGCTGGATTCTGACACCCTATGCTGGGCATCCCCTCTTGAATGTTTTCCTCTTATTCTCTGATGCCTCATGCTGTTTGCACGCCTCCGCCCCTGAACCAATATTCTCACCCCACGCTCAGGCTCTGCACTCTGTGCCTGGCAGCACCCCTGCACAATGCCCTTGGTGCTCCACCTGGGCTCTGACAGCCTGCTTCCGGTTACCAAGGCTCTCCCTCACCTCTGCAGACACTGACCTTTCTTGGCCATAGCTACTGGCTTTTGGAGGAATAGAAGGGAAGAGAGAGAGGAAGAGCTCCAACAAGTTTAATAAAAAAAGAAAAATCAAAAATTTAACATAGAGAATAATAAAGAAGAAATGTGCATACAGACACATAAAATTTTTTAATGAGAAAAGAATGTATAAAAATGGTCAAAATGAGTAATATAAGAAAACATAAATGGCAAATAAATTGGCAAAATGTAGCCAAATCATAATAGATCTGAAGAAACCAAGAAAGTTATTAAAGAGTTGCATTCAGAAAAGGAAGTGGTTTTATGGGTGGATTATTTTAAATCTTTAGGAAATAGATAACTTTCTGGGGAAAGTACAAAATGTGTATGATCGTATTTTTTGAAAATAGCATAACTTTACACCAAAAACCTGAGGATGAGATCCCAGAAAACTATAATCCAATTTCACTTGTGGCAGGAAGTGAGTGGGAATTTTTCAATTGCCTCAGAATGAGTAATTGACACCCAAAGCAGTAGATCTAAAGAAAGCCACTGGACCAGTTTGAGCTCTCCAGTGAAACAGAACAAACAGGATATGTGTATATGTATATGGAGAGAGTTGTTTCAAGGACTTGGCTCATGGATTGTAGAGGTTTGGAAGTCCAAAATCTGCAAGGTGTGCTGGCAGGCTGAGACTCAGGGAAGAGTTGTGGTTCCAGTGCGAAGGCAGTTTGCTGACAGAATTCCTTTTTGCTCAGGGGAGGTCAGTCTATTATTTTATCTTTTATATTATCTTTATTCAGGCCTTCGACAGATTGGATGAAGCCCATCTCCATTACAGAGGGTAACCCGCTTTACTCAAAGTCCATGGATTTAAATGTTAATCTCATCCAAAAAACACCTTCACAGAAACATCTAGAATAATGTTCTGCCAAATATCTGGGCACCACGGCCCAGCCAAGTTGTTACATAAAATTAACCAGCACAGCCACTTGTAAAGAAAGCCCAAAAGCATCAGAGGCCCAGGCACCTACATCCGGATTTCTTAGGAGCTGGCTGCACAGGCTCCTTCCACCTCCTCCTCATTCCAGCAACCTCCCCAGCTCCAGACAGAGGACTGAGAGGGAGAAGGTACTTGACAGAAATCTGGATCAGGGACTGAGGGGAGGGTGTGCTCCCCACTGGGCAAGCCAGGACCACAGAGGATCCTTCCTAGAGACTTGGGGAGGCTGAAGGAAGTCTTAGATCCTATTTGCTGGTTGGGTATTGGTTGAGCTGTGAAATCTGGAGCCTGACCCCAAGAAGAGGGGCTGAGATGATGGCAGTGTGGAGGGAGATCCCTTGGGCAGTCTGGCAGGCGTCCCCAGGAGTTTGGGGCAGGTGTGGGGTGGTTGCTGTATCCATCCGTTTCCTAGAGATGCCATGACACATACCATAGACTGCGTGGCTTAAAGGATAGAATTTTCTTTTTTCTAATTTTCTTACAGTTCTGAAGGTTATAATTCCAAGGTCCAAGTCACAATAGGATTAGGTTCTTCTGAGCCTCTCTCTGTGGCTTGTAGGTGGCTGCCTTCTACCTCTGTGTGCACATTGTCTTTGCTCTATGCTTCTTGGGACCTAATTTCTTCTTATGAGGACACCAGTCAGGCTGAATTGGAGCCCACCCCAGTGAACTCACTCAACCTTAATCACCTCTTAAAAGACCACGTCTCCAAATACAGTCACATTCTGGGGATTAGGACTTCAACAGATGAATTTCGAGGCAGCACAATTCAGCCCATAGCAGCTGTGAACATAGAGAACAGTGCCTGCTTCACCTGAGGATTCCTGAGGGCTGGAGACTGCTGGGCAGCCTGTGCTGAGAGAGAGGGTGAGGACTTTGGTGTACTATGCCTGGAAGACTTGGATGTGGGGGCTGCCCTCCCAGATGGCTAAGGCCTTCAGGGTGTGCAGAAAGGGCCCCCCGTACTCTATGTGAAGGAACAGGTGAAGTGCAGGAGGAACGGAGGCTCTGGGGGTGCCCAAGTGGCTAGGCCAGACAAGTGGGTGCCCCAAACAACCAGGGGAATGGCAGGCATGAATGGCTGCTGGGCCAGCAGGGAGATGGGACTGTCTCCCAGAGCAGAGCTAAACACTACACCAAACAAAGCCAGTACCTTGCCCTTACCACAGGGGCCAATCAGTGGAACCATTAGCTACAGACAGAATGGACTAAGCCAAAGTGAGTGCTCCTCACTTCACTGGGTGCTCCTCACTCCCAAGAGCTATCCAGTTACATAAAGTGACACTGGCACTAGGGGCTTGAGCCTTGAAAATGAAGGGGGACAAGGAAGAGATTTTCTCAGCAGCAGAAAAAGTCCCTCCCTCCCTTCACTGCTCCCAGGACCGAGCTGGGGGCTGCGGGAGCAGCATTGGGAAATGCGACTGAAGTATTTTATTAAACAAAAACAGCTCCCATTATTGCTAATTGCTTTACATAGTTTCCCATCTCTGTAACCATCCTACAAAGGGGAGCGGGAGCTTGGGGCTCGGTGTGGTGAAGCACAGAATCGAGTCTACACAGCTGCTGTGTGACAGGACTGGGCATCAAACTCAGCTCTGTGCCATGACAAGACGACATGGCCTGAGAACAGAGCACAGGCTTTTAGCCACATAGCTAGTGTTTGGAGGCTCCTTGACTTATTTCTGGACAAAGTAGGGTCTAACTAAACTAACCAAATGATGTCAATCTTGGGGAGCAGCGTGCGTGCACATGCGTGTGTGTGTGTGTGTGTGTGTGTGTGTGTGTGACTTCCCTGGTCACAATGTAATGGAGGTTTCTAGATAATGAAATCTGATGCTTCTCTTTACAGGGTTTACAGGGTTTCCAGGTCATGTGCTCACCCTGGGCAAGTCTAGCATGAACCTGCTGGAACAGAATTCTTAGCTTCTGAGTAGGGATCACTGAGTCTGCTGCTGTGGAGTCTTTGACCTGGTTATTCATGGATGAACCATCTGTTTCCCCTTTGCTCTCATGGCTCAAGATGGCAAAAGCTTTCTCCCACCCTTGGCCACCTCTCCCTTCCATTGTTGTGGCCAGGTGGCTGCTGTAGCTGCCTGTTCTTTAGGGATGGCACCCCTGGAGTCAGAGAGTCCATCCCTGTCATCATTGCTGTTGAGACAGAGATGGTGAAGCAGCTCTTCTCTGGCATTGCCTGTCTGGATAAAGCAGGCACTTGACTTGGTAGCTCACACCTGAGAGACCTAGGGGACCTGTGCTTCCTGGGGACTTGGTGAGGGGGAGCAGAACAAAAGGCTGGTGGAAGCCTCAGGGGTAACTGTACCCTTCCCTGGGGATCTCCCCCATCCTGAAAGCCAGCCTGGCCTCTCAACAGGGGCCTGAATGGCCCTCCCTCTGCTGAATGTGATAGAAAAAGGGAGACAGGCACAGAAGGAGCTGTTTTCTCAATGCTTCTAGATGGAACAATATACGCAAAGACCATCTGAGTCACCCTCAAGGGAGGACTACAACTTCCAGATCACTGTTGGTCATTGACACATCACTGACCATCCTGCTCACGCTGCACCTCAGCAGTGGCTTTCCTCCTCCCTTGGCTAAATGCTCTTCTCTTTCAGTTGACATTCATGGGGCTTATGCATAAGTAGGACGCAGGCCTCCTCCCAGTGGGCGAAGGTGAGGGTGGACAGGGAGCACATGTCCCTCAGAAGTCTGTATTCCAACTAGGGGCAAAGAAATGAAATCCCAGTGCTGGTGGTTTCTGGTGCTCACTCCCAGTGCAGAGAAACTGCTCTGGCTAGGGGCCTGTCACAGTAGCCAGAGCTGGAAAGAAGCTCTGAATGTTAGAAATCTGGAGGAAAGCACAACTTCAAAGAGTCTTTTTCTAAGAAAAGTCCCTTTTGCTGCCCACAGGGAGTCAACTGCAGATACGGTTTTAAAATTTTTGTAGAAAGTCAGTCCTTCCTGTCTCCCTTCCTTATCCCCAGGCCAGAAGCAAATAAGTATTTCCCAGAGAGGAGAGGGCAGGAAGAGGAGTTCTGTGACCTGGGTGGGGGTTGCTCACAGGCCTGAGTACCCCAGTATTCATCATCCCTTTCCTCTTGCCTCTGAGGATGTGTATGTGCCTCTTGCCTCATTACCCATTGATTCATACCTCCCCAGCTGTGCCTGCTGCATGAATCGGATGGTCCTTTTGAATTCAGACATCTCAGACCTAAAGAGCTGCAGGACATGGGCCTACCATGCCTTAACATGTTGTTTTTCTTGCACACTTTGTCATTGGTTGGCAGAATCTCCACATCTCTTTCTCTGTCTCTCTTTTTTAAAAAAAAATCGCTTTATTAAGATATAATTTGCATAACACATGTCTTAGCCCATTTGCATTGCTATAAAGACATACCTGAGGCTGGATAATTTAAAGAGGCAAGAGGTTTATTTGGCATATGGTTCTGCAGATTGTATAGGAAGTATGGCACCAGCATCTGCTTCTGGCAAGGGACTCAGGCTGCTTCCACTCATGGCAGAAGGGGAGGAAGGGAAGCTAGCATGCAGACTTATATGGTGAAAGAGAAGGAGGGGCCAGTCTCTTCTCAACAACCAGTTTTCATGGGAACTAAGAGTGAGAACTCACTGCTGTGAGAATGGCACCAAGCCAAACACCTTCCTCTTGGCCCCACCTCCAACACTGGGGATCACATTTCAACATGAGATTTAGTGAGGCCAAACAAACCATGTCCAAACCATATAATCCACCCATTTAACAGTATGTACAATTCAATGGTTTTTTAGTACATTCACAGGTGTGTGCAACCATCATCATAGTCAATTTTAGAATATTTTCATTATCTCAAAAGAAAGAAATCCTGTACCTTTTAGCTATTACTCCTCTATCCTCCAACCACTGCCCCCCAGCCATAAGCAAGCAGAAATCTACTTCCTGTTTCTCTAGAGACCCCATTCTGGACTTTTATAAGAATGGAATTATACAGTATATTGTCACTCGTGACTGGCTCCTTTTACCGCACATCATATTTTCAAGGATTATCCATTTTGCAGTGTGTATCAGTAGTTCATTCCTTTCACACTGCTCTTGATGGGGGTGAGCAGGCTGAGTGTAGCTCCATGGAGTGGAGGAATAGCTATAGAGACCTCCAAGTCCAGGCTCATGAAGAATCTTGCTTTGTACCCAGGCTTGGCATGGTTCATTTCAGATAATTTCACTCACTTCCTCCTTAGGTGGTTGGTAAACTAGAGACCAATGTCTTCCCTTGACTGTTATTAGACTGGTGCACATGGTCTTTGTACTCAGCAGACAGGCTTCTCTGCCTGAGGCCACCATCATCTTGTTCTTTCGAAAGGACGTCTATTGCTTCCAGGTGTTCTGAATGCCCTTATTCCTGCTGTAAACTCATGCTGACCACGGAGAGCAAGCAAAGGCACTTATTTGCATCCTCTGCACATTTGTGAAGGAGCTTCTGTGGGGTTCTGTCTGAGCTCTAAATTCTTCCTGGAAGTTTTGGATAAGGAAACATTCTTGACATCCTTGCACTTGGACACAGTACTGCTGATGCTGTAACTGAAGTTTTAAACTGGTAATAGGTTGGCCTGGACTTTTTGTTAATTGAAAGTGACCACAAATCCATAAGATTTGTTCAAATGTCATTATGGGTCAGGAAGAAGAGATTTGGAAGAATTTGTCTGAAGATAAGCAATTGGACAAAAAACCCCACAAAACCATCTTATGTTTACGCCCTGCTGACTTCAGACTGTTCAATACAATGATTACACATTTAAGAACATAGAGGCATACATCCCATATAAATTTTAGTGTTAGTATTCAATTCAGTAGTATATTAAAAGAATACTACATTATGACCAAGTCAGCTTTACTACAGGAATGTAAAGGTGGCTCTTTATGAACAAGTGCATTAATGCAGTTTGTCACAGCAAGAGGTCAAAAGAAAATTTTTGGCAGTAGTTTGGAAACCTGTTCACACAAGACATTTTTATTTCCTTAGCATGGGTGCCACACAGAAACCAATAGAACAAACGCCATACTTGTTTGGGATGGCTATTTATGCTGCTTTGATAGACTTATCCTTAGAGAAACTATCTTGTTTGTTTGTGTTGCTAAAAGGAATACCCAAAGCTGGGTAATTTATAAAGAAAGATTTATTTGGCTTATGGTTCTACAGGCTGTACAAGAAGCTTATCTGCTTCTGGTAAGGGCCTCAAGCTGCTTCCCCTCATGGCAGAAGGAGAAGGGGAGCCTGAGTGTACAGAGATCACATGGCCAGAGAGGAAGCAAGACAGAGGGGAGGGAGGTGCCAGGCTCTCTTTAACAACCAGTTCTGGTAGGGACTGGTAGAGTGAAAATTCACTATTGCAAGAACTTCATCAAGCCATTCATGAAGGATCCACCCCTATGACCTAAGCACCTCCCATTGGGACCCACCTCCAACATTGGGGATCAAATTTCAACATGAGGTTTGGCAGGAATTACACAAAAATGATGCTGGGTGCTCTCCATGTGCTCTATCAGGAAGTGCACAATGCCAACCCATCACACTATTGTTGACTTAATTTTAATCTTCTCCTCCAACTTTCTCCACTGTGAAGGCACCATTTTCATTATGCCAGTTTCAGAGCATGTCCCCACAAATTAAATCATAAAATTAAATCATAATTTAATCCCTTTTGGAGGGAGTAAGACATTTAGGATTTAATTTTGTGCTAAAGAATAATAATACAAAAATAGCTATCATTTAATGACCATTTATTATGTGCAAGGCACTGTGCTATGCACTTTATGCATCTTAGTTGAATGCTCAAACCCTTGAATTATGTACCATTATTATTCCCTGTTACAGATGAAGAAAATGAGCCAACTGCAGTGATGGATTTGAAGCAGGATAGATTATATGCTACCTATTCAGTCTTCTTGAGTACTATTTTTTCCCCCATTTAGTAAAAAAAAAAAAAAAAAGAAAAGAAACTGTAAAAGAAATTAGCCAAGGAGGCTGGATGCAGTGGCTCATGCCTATAATCCCAGTACTGTGGGAGGCCGAGGTGGGTGGATTACCTGAGGTTAGACATTGGAGACCAGTCTGGCCAACATGGCAAAACTCCTCCTCTACTAAAAAAAAATACAAAAATTAGCCGAGTGCGGTGGCTCATGCCTGTAATCCCAGCACTTTGGGAGGCCGAGGTGGGCAGATCACCTGAGGTCAGGAGTTAGAGACCAGCCTGACCAACATGGAGAAACCCCATCTCTACTAAGAATACAAAATTAGCTGGGCGTGGTGGCACATGCCTGTAATCCCAGCTACTAGGGAGGCTGAGGCAGGAGAATCACTTGAACCTGGGAGGTGGAGGTTGCAGTGAGCCAAGATTGTGCCGTTGCACTACAGCCTGGGCAACGAGAGTGAAACTCCGTCTAAAAAAAAAAAAAAAAAAAAAAAATTAGCAGGTCATGGTGGCACATGCCTGTAATCCCAGCTACTTGGGAGGCTGAGTATCACTTGAGTCCGGGAGGCGGAGGTTGCAGTGAGCTGAGATGGTGCCATTGCACTCCAGCCCTGGGCGACAGAGCAAGACTCCATCTCAAAAATAAATAAATAAATAAAAAAGAAATTAGCCAATGAAGAGTTAAAAACACCAAACAGAAGTGGTTTAAGTTTTTCCTTGCAGCTCAAGTGATTCTGTTTGTGACAACTAAAGACCCAGAGGTTCCATTTGATGTGTTAGTAGATAATACACCTTAAAATCTGCAACCATTTAAAAATTGGGCTAAAGACATTTAAAGCCACTAAAGTTGTCAAAAATAAACCCCACAAAACCTCATTATTTCTACCTATGTTAGGTCAGCTAGTGAAAGGAAAATGAAAGGTAATGGCTAAGAATTAGCTTTCCAAATGGCTCAGTCAAAGCCATTTGGAAATTTGCCAGTCCAAGGACCAACCCAAAAGAAACCTCAAATATAATCTCTTTGTACAAAGAAAAGAGACACCACAGGCATTATTAAAATACGAGAATTGGTGGAACCACTTCGATACTGGTCAAAAATCATGAGAATAAAATATTTTCAAATATCCTAGAGAAAGAAAGACATGTATTAATTATAAATTAAACACTATCAATCTTTGTTTCGATTCTTAATGAGTGTTTTTATCTGAGTTCGTTTTTATTAAATTTCCCTTGGGAGAGGAATGGTGGATTTACAGATCTTTTACTAGGGTCCACTTATTATGGGCGCTTTGCTAAGGCCATAAATTTTGCAGTTGAATGACAATAGCGAGGAGGGAGTAGAGCAAGCAGTGGATTGAAGCTGGGAAGGAGGGCAGGATTAAAGGTGGCTTGCACAGAAAACAGTTTTTACATTTTGATATAGCCCCAAATGACCTGGGTTAAAAGTACCACATTAACATGTCCTTTGAATAAAAATAGCCACATCAAAATGGACAGCTTCACTCAGATGTCTATCATAACACTCACTCTGGTTCAAAAAATTTATGATTCATAGGCTTAACAATAAACACACAGCTTTAGCTCCTTCTGAAGACCTGAAAGGTCATGGACTGGAATCCTGAGTTGTGAGGCCAGTTTCCTGAACCAAGATTCAGAGCTAGCCAGTGAACCTAGCAGATGGGCCAGCGTTCAATTTCCACTGAAGTCTGGCGTTCTCAATTCCTGTAACCGCCCAAGGGGTTCACCTTGCCTGCTGCCTACACAGACTCGATTCATCAAGACAGGGGAATTGCAATAGAGAAAGAGGAATTCGTGCAGAGTCAGCTGTGCATTAAACCAGAGTTTTATTATTACTCAAATCAGTCTCCCCAAGCAGAGTTTTTAAGGATAACTTGGTGGGTAGGGGGAAGCCAGTGGAGCCAGGAGTGCTGATTGGTCAGAGATGAAATCATAGGGAGTTGAAACAACCCTTTCCCAAAGCACACCTCCTTCTTGCCTGGGGACTAGACTGCCTTTGTAGGACTAACATTAGCCACAAGATTAGAGATTATGGTTTAGGAGTCATGCAATTGGAGGCTACAAGATTCTGACCCTCCCTAAACTGCTCCTAAGATCAATGCTTGAGATGCTTTGCAAATGCTGCACTTAATGGATCAGGGGGCACCACCTAGATCAATAAACTGGCTTATTTGATCCTGTGGCCCCCACCCAGGAACTGACTCAGTGCAAGAAGCCAGCTTTGACTCCCTGTGATTTCATCTCTGACCAATCAGCACTCCTGGCTCACTGGCATCCTCCAGCCTACCAAATTGTCCTTAAAAACTCTGCTCCCTGAATGCTCGGGAGACTGATTTGAGTAATAATAAAACTCTGATCTCTCACACAGCTGGCTCTGCATGAATTACTCTTTCTCTGTTGCAATTCCCGACTTGATAAAGATAAATCAGCTCTGTCTAGGCAGCGGGCAAGGTGAACCCACTGGGTAGTTACAATTGGGCCCCTGACAACCTTAGAGCCACAGCTGCTATACCAGCCCAGACTTTTACACTTGAGAGAAATTAACTTCTCTTTTTTACTGATACGTAGTCATTGTACATATTTATGGAGTACATGTGATATTTTGAAACATGCATCCACTGTGTAGTGATCAAATCGGTCTTTAAGATATTCATCACCTCAAACATTTATAATTTCTTTGTATTGGAAACATTTCAAATCTTTTAGCTGATTTGAAATATACAATAAATTGCTGTTTACTATAGTCATCCTATTGTGCTATCAAACGAGAACTTATTTCTTCTACATAACTATATGTCTGTACTCAGTAACCAACCCCACTTTATCCCCCTCTCTACTCTTTCCGGCCTCTAGTAACCATCATTCTACTCTAAAAAGTTGAATTCCGCAAGTTCAACTTTTTAGCTCCCAGAAATGAGTGAGAACATGCAATATTTGTCTTTGTGTACCTGGCTTATTTCACTTAACATAATAACTTCCAGTTCCATCCATGTTGTTGCAAATGACAGGATTTTTTTTTTTTTTTTTTTTTATGGATTAAGAGTATTCTCTTGTGTATGATCTCCTCTTTTGTTTAAGCCTCTGTTAGCCTGGGTTCCTGATGACACATCTGGACCTGTGTCCTAATTAACACTGTAGGTAAAGCAAGGATCTACGACCGTTTCCATCTTGTCTCTGTCATGAGGCTGTGAGCTCCTTATGGCAATCTCTCCCTACATTTCTTCCAGTTCCTCATGGTAGGCACAGCACTATCCTACGCCTTGGACCAGAATAGACTCTTGTGGATGCTTATTGGATGAATGAATGAATGAATGAACATGTCAGTGTGTTGCGAGCTGGGAGAGATGCATCAGAAAAGCAGTGGGATGAGAGTCACATACCCCGTACCCTTGTTGGAATTTATGTCTAGGAATTTGTGTTTGGCTGCTTGTAACAGAAAACCCTAATTTTGGGTAATGACTTAATCAAATAGTGATTCATTTCCCTCAAATGGTAAGGGCCTGGGGGTGGGTGGTTTCTGAATTGGGTTTGGTGCAGTTTTGGGGGTGGCCAAGCCTAAGTTTCTGCCATTCACTTGGCCTCTTCCTCATGGTCACAAGATGGCAGCCAAAATCCGACAGTTACATCCATGTCCCAGGGAAGGGGAAGGAGGCAGCAGGAAGAAGGCAAAAGGGAAAGTCAGCCAAGTCTGTCCCCTCTTAAAGGTCTCAGGCTGCTCCTGCCTTTTGCAGGGCCCACAATAAGAGTACAAGGCCAGGCGAGGTGGCTCACACCTGTAATCCCAGCACTTTGGGAGGCTGAGGCAGGCGGATCACAAGGTCAGGAGATCGAGACCAACCTGGCCAACATAGTGAAACCCTGTCTCTACCAAAAATATAAAAAATTAGCTGGGCATGGTGGCACATGCCTGTAGTCCTAGCTACTCAGGAGGCTGAGGCAGGATAATCACTTGAACCCAGGAGGCTGAGGCAGGATAATCACTTGAACCCCAGGAGGTGGAGATTGCAGTGAGCCAAAATCGCACCACTGCACTCCAGCCTGGGCGACAGAACAAGACTCTGTCTCAAAAAAAAAAAAAAAAAAAAGTACAAAGGGAGGTCCAACTACTATCTGTTTATATATTTATCTTCCTACCCTCAAAATGACAAAGGCAAAAACATGTCAAGCTGTATTTTTTTTCTCTTGCACCTAAATTCAATGTGGAATTGAGCTATAATTTTTCTATGATTGGAAGTCACGAAGCACCAAAGACAATTGAATTTAATTGTGACTGAATATATCTGGGATTCTGTTGATGAGCTGGCAAAGTCTGAATGAGACCAAGGTAGTATAATAAAACCAAGGTATACATAATTCAAAAGTCATGATGTATTTATTCCATACATTATTTTTCTATCATCTGAGCAAAATTCAATAATTATGTTAATAACAAAATTTTCACAAATTTGTCTTCTATTGACAGTAATGCTCTAAAGCAGGGGTCCCCAACCCCCAAGGTGCAGACCAGCTCTCTGTTAGGAACTGGGGCACACAGCAGGAGGTGAGCGGCAGGTGAGCAAGCATTACTGCATGAGCCCCACCTCCCATCAGATCAGCTGAGGCATTAGAGTCTCATAGGCGTGTGAATCTTATCCTGAACAGGGCATGCGAGGGATCTAGGTTGCATGAGAATCTAATGCCTGATGAGGTGGAACAGTTTCATCCTGAAATGATTCCCCGACAACCATGGTCTATGGAAAAATTGTCTTTCAGGAAATCTGTTGTTGATGCCAAAAAGGTTGGGGACTGTTTGTCTAAAGCAAGGATTGGTCAACCATATCCTGCAGTCCAGCCACCTGTTTTTTGTTTAAAACATTTTATAGGAACACAATCATGCTCCATCTTTTACATGTTGTCTGTGGCTGTCTTCATGTTACAGTGGCGGAGCTGAGTAGCTGTAACTGGGACTGTATGGCCAACAAACCTAAAATATTTACTCTCTGCATCTTTAAGAAAAAGTTGCCAACCCCTGATCTAAAGTATTTTTTAAAAATGTAATTATAGTCAAAATATACAAAATTTGAATCTATTTTCATTAAGAAGTGTCAGTTAAAGTGAACGTAGATGGCTGGGCATGGTGGCTCATGCCTGTAATCTTAGCACTTTGGGAGGCCAAGGCAGGTAGATTGCTTGAGGTCAGGAGTTCAAGACCAGCCTGACCAACATGGTGAAACCCCATCTCTACCAAAAATACAAAAATTAGCCAGGTGTGGTGGCATACACTTGTAATCCCAGCTACTCGGGAGGCTGAGGTAGGAGAACTGCTTGAACCTGGGAGGCAGAGTTTGCAGTGAGCTGAGATTGCACCACTGCACTTCAGCCTGGGCGACAGAGTGAGACTCCATCTCAAAAAAAAAAGAAAAAGAAGTGAACATAGAAATTCAATAATTAAAATTATTTTTTGTGTACATCTTCTAGAGAAGTTTTTTCCTAAAGAAGTCATAATTTAACAAATTAAAAGGTAAGATTCTTTTGTAGTTCACAAGCATGATTGTGTGTTCACGTGCATGTGTGAGATGTCACCCTTGTGAACCTTGATACGACGTTGGCACGTTACCCATCTCACATTAAAAAAATTTTAAAAAAGTAAAATGCTAATTCTAATTCATGCATATTAACATTACTTAAATAAAGCTAAATTTTATTTAACTCTAACAAATTTAAATAAATCTTATTAAACATTTCTATGAAAATAAAACTTGACCTTCTACCATTCAATATCTATGTGATTGCCGGCAGAAAGGCTTCCTATCATTCTTCATGCAATTCTGCTTATACCTACATATTGCAGATTTCAGAGCAATGTGAGTTGTTGAATATGGCAACATGTTCTTCAGCTGCCAGATACAATTGCCATGAATGCCCTGTAATTGGTAAGAACCTTCAGAATAGTGGGCTAGAACTTGAGGAGAAGCAAGAAAATAGATGTTTGGGACAACTGGGAAATGCTAATTTGTTGTGTAGGAATATTAAACCTATGATATCTGCTGGGAAGGAATTAACAAGCAACTTGTGTTTTTCCATTAACTAAGCTCTTCTGCCATTCAAATCCTCCTGCTCTCTGAGCAGCATCTACCTCCAATGTCCTCAGGCACAGAGATGCAAAATTTCCAGGCTCAGAGTGTTTCAAGGACATAGGGGAGGGCAAGAGTTGTGAACGTGTGTATCCCTGGGCTTGCGTGGTGTTGATAAGAATGAATATTTGGGGTATGGATTGCACTGTGTCTGTGTTGAGGACCTGATCCCAGATGATAGAGACCACCTTTATGTTTGTTAGGAAATAGTTATGTGTGTGTGTGTGGCCATCCTAGTCTGTTTTGTGTTTCTATAACAGAATATCTGAGACTGGGTAATTGATAAAGAAAAAGAATTTGTTTCTTACAGCTCTGGAGGCTTAGTGAGTCCAAGATGGAGGGGTTGCCTCTGGTGAGGGCATTTTTGGTGCATCCTAACATGGAGGGATGATGCGAGAGTGTGCGAGAAAGGGGATGGGGTGCCTAACCCCTTTCCTTATCAGGAACCCACTCCTGATAACTCAAGACCGTGACATTAGCCCATTCAGGAAGGCAGAGTCCTCATGACCTAATCACCTCTTAAAGGTCCCACCTGTCAACACTACTGCATTGGGGATTAAGCTTCCAACACATGAACTTTGGGGTACACATTCAAACCATAGCTCTGTGTGTGTCTGTGTGTGTGTGTGTGTGTGTGTGTGTGTGTGTGTGTGTGTGAGAGAGAGAGAGAGAGAGAGAGAGAGAGAGAGAGAGACATTCGAGTGAGGCCCTCTAAAGCAGGAGGCCCAGAGCAGAGTCTAAGGACAGACAGTGCTAAAAAGGCTCTCGGGAAACTCCCCTCAAATGGCTTCTGCTTACATCACC